>NC_000010.11:9252424-9403939 GCF_000001405.40 Homo sapiens
ACGGGGATGAGGGGGAAAAAAAGAAAATACACTACTTAAATTAACAAATCTACTATGGACTTTGAAGTTTTGCAACACCTAATTAGTTTATAAACATAAAAGGCAGATCAATGTTATAATTCCTGCTAGTTTACATCTTCAATTTTATTATAATTTAATTATTAATGAAGACTATTTGCAACACTTATCTTATTTGATCTATCTCAACATAGGTCTAACAAATGCATGGCAATTTAATGTTCAATACAAAAATAAATGAATTTAGAATAAATCCCACTATAATTTTAGGTTTAAAAATATGTTGCAAAATACACTATAGGGAGAAAAAGCATGGGAACAAAGATTACCAGACCTCTCTGAAAATTAATCATCATGTAAAATTTGTCATTGGAACACTTACACGGAAAAAAATAGATGAAGGTTTGTCCCTTTTCACCCACAAAGCCAATTCTGTGCCTTCTTGCTTCTTTCTCACCAAAGAATAATGTCTTTTTGTACTTACCACAGTGGTCCCTTTTGGCAAATGAATATTTTTATTATACTAGCATTTGGAACTTTAACAAAGAAAGACAGATAGAGATATCCACCCACAACATTAAGGTTTTGCTTTTCTCATTCATTTACATCAAAAAAAGAGTTACAATATTTAACCAAAGTTAATACTCAGAAATGTTTAGATTGGACACTACTGCCACATTAAAAAATTCATATTAAGTCAAGCTCTATTTTTTCTTAATGTATATAGCACATTGGAAGTTTATCACAACAAAATCATTACAAAACTTTACCATCTTTATCTATGCTTCTAACTGAAGCTACATCAAACAAATACAATCTCCCCAGCCCTCTACATGCACATTTCCTTCTCTGTTTTAATATGGAATCTGATGCTGGATTTTTGCCAGAAAGGCTTATGAGAGAGATAAACATTTACCCTTAGTCATAATACCTATTATAACTCTATGGTAGAAATTTAGAGCAGAGTTTAGATGCAAAAAAATATACTTTTTTTTCTAGTTTTTAAAGCCTACATTTCCCCCCCAATTTGAAAACCAGCTTTTTAAATCTTTTAATCTTCTTCTGACCATTGGTCTTATAAAGGGGATCTCCAAAATTTACTGTTTCATAAGAAGCAAAATTGTTTGCAAAGCAGAATTTTTGGATAGAAAATTAATATCAACCTTCCAACATAAAATTTTTAAATCAAATACTAAGATATTAATTTGCATATTGTTTATCAGCATTTGTAGAAATGATACCGTAAATAAATTGATCAAAATATGGTGCTAAATTTAATGGTTGATGTTATAGAAAAAAATCTATGTGCATTTAATGATTGATATTTCCTATTGTCTATAGATTGGATGGCTCTCTGTCATTAACAAGTAGGTAAAACAGTTCAACTGGGTCTGTGTTTTAACTCACTAAACTAAATCTAATTCATGGCTGTGGTTTAGATAAAGTAACAGATTTCTTATAAAGAATACTCTTCAGAATTATTTTACAATTGTTCTTATCAATAATAAAATTTATTTCCACAGAATGAAAAGCCTTTGAAATGAATTATCTTTCACTGGGGAAGTCCCTACGTGAGATACAGGACACTAAGGACTCACAGGTAACTTCATAATGTGGAAGTTCATTTCTTTAAAAAGAAAGGACGAGAAAAACAAAGGCAGTCTTTACTCACAAACACATCAGATACCAGGCATAGAAATGATGTTGGAAACTTTTTACATTTAAAAAATACGTGCAAAGTTGAAATGTGGCACTACTAGAATATTTCTTTCAATTATTTCTCCTTTTAAAAAATACAGAATTTACACACCATAACAAGTTCCTACAGCTTCTGTTACCCCAGAAATAAGGGTCAGAGATTTTGTTTCATATGAGTGGATCCCATGTCAAGTGTTAATGCCTCAGATAGTAGGTCACATATGATATCTATAGCCATTAATTGAGGAGTTAAACCAGCCTATTTTGTATGTCAGATTTTCAATCCTGATTATCTAGCATTTACAAATTCAGATGTACTCTATTACACTGAAGCTATGAAATGCTTTTTCTTAACTTCCTAAAAAGGGTTAAAGGACACTCATCTAAGAAACAACTTACTCTCTATTTGTGATTATTCTCCTCTTAGTCACGATGATTCAAATGATTAATTCCACATGCTGTTTTCAGAAGTAAAAATAACTCTATGAATATAAAAAAAAAAGTCTATTATCAAATACTACTCTGATTTTGGTCCAGTGTGTTTATGTATCCTCGCCCCCAGTTAGCTTCTCTGTACAGTATTAATACTGTTGCCTAAATAGGACAGTACTATATTATTTTAATAGACTATTGCCCTCTCCCCTTTTTGGCATTTTTTTGAGAATAGTTTGGAAAAGACTATCATCTTGTGCTACAGGCTGTCGCTCCACAAAACATCACCAAAAGCACAAGAATTGACTAAGCAAGTATTTAAGTATTTAGCACCAAAGACATTACCTAGACATTTTGGGAAGGAGGATGCAGCAAAGACATTGGAGTGTTTCTTTTTCTTTTTCTTTCTTTCTTTTTTTTTTTTTTTTTTTTGAGATGTAGTCTTGCTCTGTTCCCCAGGCTGGAGTGCAGTGGCACGATCTCGGCTCACTGCAAACTCTGCTTCCCAGGTCACACCATTCTCCTGCCTCAGCCTCCCGAGTAGCTGGGACTACAGGCGCCCGCCAACACACCCGGCTAATTTCTTGTATTTTTAGTAGGGATGTGGTTTCACCCTGTTAGCCAGGATGGTCTCCATCTCCTGACCTCGTGATCCACCCTCCTTGGCCTCCCAAAGTGCTGGGATTGCAGGTGTGAGTCACTGCACCCAGCTGACATTGGAGCATTTCTTAGCTTTCCCCTGAGTTAATAATGAGTCAGTTGGGGAATATTGTACCAACTCGTGCTATTTCTTTGGGACATTTTCCATTCAGGAGAACTGTAAAGCAACAGAATAAAAATAGCAACTAAAATGATGGCCACAGGTGATTTAGATGGTGATAGAGGGTAATCCGAGTGGCCTAGACCTGAAAAATAGACATAGGTTTTAGGGAGCCTCTGGATTTTTTTTTTCTTTTCTTTTTTTCCTTTTTCGCACAATTGTATTTGTGTATCAGAAAGACTGCTCTGGAAGGAATATGAAGAATTAGCTAAAGGAGGAGAGAGTTTATTGTGTAGGCATGATAAGACACGTGTCTGACCTCAAGCAGCAGAGTGGGCTAGAGAAGAATATTATATTGACAAGTGAGATAGAGTTCATAGGATGTGATAATTGATTGGATATAAGAAGGCACGTGGAAAAATGGAGAATTCATATTGCATGACCTTCTCATTGGGGGAACTAGGTAAATGGTAGCAGCACTCACGCACACAAAAATAAGGAGATAACCCATCTAGCACAAGCATTTCCATCTTAAGGTTTCCTTTCACATTCAGTCATTCATTTAACTGGACCCCAAACATACTCCAATTGTCAATCAACTTGGTATTTGACTGGTTCTATCTGATTAACTGTCTTCATTTGATTAAGTTCTTGTCTCTCCAACATTTCGTCTTACAAAATAATTCTCGATTGTGACCTCTGCATTTCTCAGATATGTGGCTTTGCATCATTTTTTCTCATTTTCTTCACTTTTCCCCTTAATTAATTAAAATTTGATTACTATCTCCTGTTGTTATGTCTGCTTCCCTTGATAAACATTTCCCTCCATGTTGGACATAATGTTGCTAAGAGGGACCAACGCAGAGGAGAACAAGTTTTGTTTTGTATTAGCATGGGCATTTGAGACAATTTCAAACCCACATGGAGGCCCAGCACGGTGGCTCATGCCTGTAATCCCAGCTACTTGGGAGGCTGAGGCAGGAGAATCCCTTGAACCCTGGAGGCTGAGGTTGCAATGAGCCGAGATCACACCACTGAACTCCAGCCTGGGCAACAAGAGCGAAACTCCATCTAAAAAAAGAAAAAAAAATCACATGGAGTTGTGTCCTTCAATTCAATGATCATTAAACTAGCTCCCTCTTACATACAGTGCCCCGGGCTGAAACATGACACAATAATGAACACGACAGAGTCTCCTCTGATAGATCATGGTCTTTTTGAGGCTACAGCTACATAAACTGATCATTTCAATGTAACAGGTCCAGACTATGTAGTATTGGAAAATTGGTGGGGAGGAGAGAAGGCATTCTAGAGACAGCAGAGAGAAGAGATTGGATGACACTTCCAGGGAAGATGTCCCTACTTTGAGAGTTGCAAGATTACGTAGGAATTGGTCAGAGATGTGGCTAAAAGGAACATAAATTTAAGAGAGTTTGATTTAAGGATGAGAGATACTTACAGAGGTGTGGCACAGGAGGAAGCAGAGGAAATTGATGGAGTACGGTTGCAGAGGAGACAGAAGGAAAAGAAACACGAAAACAGATTAACTTGGTAGAGAAGTAAGAACACATTGTACCAAGATGAACAGAGTTCAGAATAAGTGGAGAAGCCAAAGCATGTATGTGGGGGGGGAGGCAGATTTTAGGAGAGTTTCCTTAATTATAGTTTTTATATTCTCTTTGAGATTGTTCATCCTCAATAATGGGGAGGGGTTTGGAGCATTTCTAACACAAGGGAAGATCGCTGGCTAAGAGGAAGAGGGGTAGATGGTTAGGTCCTTTGAGGAGGAGAGGTCTGGGTTGTCATCAGTGATAGGGAAAATGGCAGTTATCGAGGCAGGACATAAAACAAAACTGTTGAGCTCTAGCATGACCTTCCCCCAAACGCCATGCCTCATTGATTAGCGGTGGCACAAATTGGAAGGCTGAGTGATTTCCTTGAAAAAGGGTCAGCTGTTTAAAGGTGGGAATAGAAATCACAGATAGTTTGATTTACCCATAGTTAGAGGATTGCATAAAATATAAAAAGATAAGGAGAAAAGGAATCAAGCACTTAAAAATAAAGCGGGAATCGAGATATTGGAGCTATATACTAGGGACTTGATCATAAGAGCAAGGAAAAGTCCATTTTCTACTGTTTTTGCACAGAAACAAAATAGGTCTAGGAGGGTTAATTCATTGATTACTCCTCTAAGAAGCTAAATAATAACAACTAAAGTATCCTCTGGATGTTACAGGATAGCTCTTAGAAACTGTCAGAATTAAATATACAGGCAGAAATTGTCTCTTCAGTAATGTTTTAACTCTGAGGAAGCTGGAACCAGGGTAAGTCCTCTGACTTAGAGTTCAGAGAATTAATTACATCAGAAAACAAGCAAATAAAACAGAGATATGATAATAGAAATGCTTGTTATTTTGACTATTATTAAAGGTATTTGACTATTATTAATGTTATTTGTGAGCATCTCTTATCATTGCAATTAATTTCTGAAGGCAGATTTTTGCCTGATTCATTTTGGAAATGTAAATTGTACAAAAATGGCTCACAAAATAAATGTCTTATAAAAATGTTCAACAAACTATTCTTCAAATAAATAATTAATGACTCATTCATTTATTAAAGTAATAGGAGCCACGAAATATGTTCAATGAAATATTCCTGAATGTTGTTGATTATCCATCAAGACATTCTTGAACAAATACAGGCATAAATGAATGAAGAAATATTTGGCATATGCATCATTTATAAGCTATTCAGTTCTTCTAGAATTAGAACTACTTGTTATTTGTTTGCTTTCTTTTAAAACCAGATAATAAATTATATGTGTATTTTCCAAGTTTGATTATCATGACACTTTTGGATAAAAAATTATAATAAACATATTTTTACACGGAACACACATATATCAGGCAATTACTAAACTGGACATTGCCATTTCCCAAAGAAACAACAGTGCTATGCTTCTCTGAATACAGGTGTACTTAATAGGAACAGACTAGAGACCTTACTGATTTATAAAGAATAATTAACTTTGACATCTAAGCATTGGTTAGATTATGAAAGTTAATCTCTATTTTTTATGATTTAGAATGTAGTTATGTATGGTGGGTGGTACAGGTAGCTCCTCGCAAATAATATTCCAGGCTAGTTAGATAAATTTAGAGAATCAAAGGATGTAGATTAAAATGTGTATATTGACACAATTATCCTCACAGGATACTGCTGAGGGGAGAGGCACTTCTCCAGGAAGCCCTCTGGAAAGTTAATGGATCCAATCTTCTGGATTCTAATTCATTAGGTAAAAATATTTAGGACAAGGAGAGTAAAACGAAGGACTGAGTGCTTAGCATGAACTCTTTGCATTTTCTTTAATAGTATTGTACTCAGAACTTCAGGAAAAGCCTGCTTTCCCAGGATTGCATGGTTTAAACAGCTAATCACAATCCTTTTTAAAGTGTTATTTGATGATCTTTTAAAAAATTATTTACTTGACTTTACTTTTGTATTTTATACAGTTGACAATATTATGCTTCTCACCATTGTTAGATTCTGTAATACTGTGGGGTGGTGGGGGTGTGTGTGTTTACTGTGCCAAGCACAATATTGTCACTATGGATATATTTTATTACGTCCATTGATATTTTATTTATGTCATGGAGTTGTGATCTGTTATAATAGATCTGTGAAGCCACATCCCTGAAGAGAGAATCTGGGACCAAGAGAGAGGTCTGGTATACCAATTACATATCACACTATCTCTCTTATTTTATTGTATTGTATTTTAAATTCTGGGGTACATGTGCAGTATGTGCAGGTGTCTTTCATAGGTAAACGTGTGCCATGGTGACTTGCTGCACCTATCAACCCATCACCTATGTATTAAGCCCAGCATGCATTAGCTATTTTTCTGGATGTTCTACCTACCTTCACCCCCACCAACAGGCCCCAGTGTGTGTTGTTCTCCTCCCTTTGTCTATGTGTTCACATTGTTCAGTTCCCACTTATAAGTGAGAACACCATCTCTTTTTTACCCTACTTTCTCAATTCATGAACTTGTCTCCTTCATCATAAAAAAAAAAAACTAAAAGCAATATCACCTGAATTTTACCAATAACCCTCAATTCTGTCTCCATTTGCATGCTGTTTGTGGTGGTGTGCTCCCTCGATTAGTCTTTCTCTCTCCTGGATCACATGCTTCTTCTTTTCTCCTAAATTTTTCTCATTCCTAAGCCAAAAATACTCCACCTTGAAAACAAGGAAACGCCAATACCAAACTAAAATACTAAGCCTTCCTAGCTCCAAAGTCCCTTCAGGAAATTTTCTTTCTTCTTTTCTCTTCGGAGATGAACTTCTTGAACCCTTAATGCACGCTGGCTCCATGCATCTATCTTGCACACCCTGTTCTTTTACTTCAGCATGCAATGGCTGTCATAGCTCCACTGAAACTGTTCTCATAATGACTCCTAAATGTCTATGTGCAGTACGGACTTCTCTTCTGAATTTCAAATTCAATTATCTAATTGCTCACCTATCATCTAAATAATGTAGTATAAGGAGAGGTGGTATAAACGAAGTATTTAAAGATAAGGAGACAGAGTAAGCAAGTAAAATTATACCTTTGCCATTTCTTAGTTATGTGGATTTGATTGTTTTTACTTAATATTTTTGGGCTTCGGTTGTCTCATATATACAATGGAGATAGTAATAGTAGCAAAGTTATTGTCATAATAAAATATTTTAATTCAAAGTGATTAAAACTCTCACTGGCACACAGTGAAAAACATGATGAATATTAACTATTCTTTTTTTATTATCCATAGGCATGTCCAGTTAGCATGTCCAAAACCCAGTGCTTGATTTTTAGTCTTCGGATATTTGCAGCCACTCAATATCTCCCTCCTCTTAGTAAGTGGTTCATACCATCCACCCAGGAGGTCAATCTAAAATCTAGGCTTCCCCTTTATATTATCTTGTTCCCTCCTCTCCTCTATCTAAAGGTCATTCCAGGGTACTGTCTTATATCCCTACTTTTTCCTGCTCTGTCTTATATCCCTACTTCTTCCTGACACGTTTTCCAGCAAGCCATCATCTGTGGACTGGCCATTTAGCTTCCAAACCTATCTCATTCCAATTAATTCTCCCCATTGCATGAAGGGTAATTTTATGAGAATGTAAAATGCCTCCTCCTAGCTGAAAACCTAGAATGTGGTTCCATTGCACATAGGACAAAATCAATTCCCTAGCCAAGGACTATGAAATCAGTAGCTCCTGGCCTCAAGCTTCCACTATTCCAGGCCAGTTTTGCTCTCCATCACCATACCCTCA
The DNA here is from genome assembly GCF_000001405.40 of Homo sapiens. Lineage (NCBI taxonomy): Eukaryota > Metazoa > Chordata > Mammalia > Primates > Hominidae > Homo > Homo sapiens. The sequence goes on from NC_000010.11 coordinate 9,260,658, forward strand.
TCAGCTGACTTTCAGGATGGCCTCCACCTGCACTGGCAGACTCCAAATTCCAAATGCCCCGGAGGTAACAACAGAAACACTTTCCCCAATGTCTGTACACACAGAGATGAGGCATCTGGAAATTCCTTGACAATGCTTCAGTCAGGACATTTTCTTCTTAGTTTTATGACCTGAGAGATCTGTCAGTGAAGTATGCCCCTGATGTCCCTTGGGTTTTTTAAACCTCTTAATATGATTATGAATTCTTATAGAACTCAGCAAGCATTTTGCCATGAACACTTTGGCCTTAAGACTTTAAATTTGTTTTTCTATGACCTCTTAACCCAAGCCATCTGTTTCATGTTTATTTGTCCAAAGTAAGATGATGCTTCTTCAATAATCACTTTATTTTCTCAGTTTTGCATCTTTCATCTCCTCTTTCTGCCCCATTAAAAATACATTATAAAAATGAAAAATTGATATTTTATTTATGTCCATTAAAAAAAATGTTGAATGCCAATGTCCATTGCATTTTCCTTCGGCACGATTGGCTTGAAATGTTTTGCTAATGTGTTGGATGTTATGGGCAACCCTCCTCACTTCATGCCCACATAGAACTTCTAATCCAAATCCCCTATATATGTAGGGTGTAAGGTTCACTTAATGGCTGGGTTTACATTGCTTCTCAATACTTTCCTTTGGGAATAGTATTTTTCTGAAACCACATCTCTAACCTTCACATTCCCAGTGAAAAATAACAGATGCCATGTGATATTCATGTCATTGGAGAAAGGGAGAGAGCACAAGGATAAATGCTCAAGGATATCGATTTAATTTTTCCAGCCATACTTGTTCCACCCCCTCCTTATCTCTGATAGAATGCTATTCTTCCAGTAATGCCTTAAAAGCTTTAAAAATTGCCACCCATTTAAACAGAACAATTCCAACTACAACCAGGACTAGTAGGTAGAAATGTCCTCTGTGTGTGGATGAAGTCCTTTTATAGAAAAAATGCTTGAAAATGGTTCTAGTATACCATAAATCAAAAGCTACACATGTGACTACAAATAAATATTCCTCGTGGATATTTTATTTGCCTTGACATTGCCTATCAGTTGCTTGTGCATACTTTCTTAGGATCTTGCATCAAGAAAATGTTATTTGGTGTGGCTATCCTTTACAACACCTTGTGAATTAATTTAGGCAACATGCAACATAACATGAAAGAAATTACATCTCATTAGAACTTCAGTCCATTTAGGACCATGAACAGGTACAAGATTCATAAACAAAATATTCTCCATACCCCAAACTTATTTTTAGGATACAGGTTCATGTCTAAAGCTAACTGTGTTGTAGCTAAATTGGTGATTTTATATTCAGGAATCTGATACGTTAAATAAATTGATTTTGGATTAGGACATGCATGTATGAAGACTAATTGACCATACATTGCTAGATTACCACAGAAACATGGCATCTGCTTGAAAAGTCATCAATTAAGAAAATTCAAGAAGTCTTAATGCTTTAATCTGTTCTATGGTCACTTTTCTTTTAAAGGGCTTATGTATATCAGTATTTAATTAAAGAACTAATTTGCTCACATAGAGACTTGACCATATTAGTTATATCCTCTCAAGCTAGAAACCATAGAGGAGTATTTTCCCCCTGCTGGATGGGTTTAGGTTTGGTTTAACTTCAGCATACAGTTCCACGCACAAATTCCTGCCTCTTATGAATTGACCAGCCTGGGAAACTTAACAAAATATTATTAACCTTTGCATAAAGTACTTTTTCTATATTTTTAACCTCCTAAATCATAACATCTCAAAATAGGAAGGAAACGGAAGTTCACAGAACAGCTTCAGGGAACAGAGCAGAATCACTGAAAAGAAAGAATACAGACTCACTAAGTTCAGATGGACACAGTGGAAGGCTTGGAGACCCTGGAATAGCAGCCCATATATTTCTAGACACCATTTTCCCCAATAGCTTGGCTGGGAGAAAGCTGTAGCCAGAAAAATAAGAGAAGATTATAAACTCTCTTCCTGAAATGAACTTGACTTCTGGGAGAAATAGCTAAAACTTTTCACAAAATTCAAAGGGGATTGTCTATAGGGGCACCCAAAGGGAGACCTTTGTGCTCACAGAGGACAAGCCTCTCTCTAGGAGTGATTTTGTATTATTGAAGAGAATGCTTTCTCTGCTTTTCACTCCCAGGCCCCTAATTTGTTATTCAAGATCCAGTATCTTGTTGATATGTGGGTTTGAGGTAAGTTTCCCAGAGCCTTGGTCACACAGCAGCATCGTATTACCACACCAGAGATAAGGATCATTCCAAGTCTGTGTGTCAGCTTCTATGGTTCTGTTATCTTTCTAACTATGGAAAGGTGTGTTAGAGCCACACAAATAACAGTCAATGAGAACAAAAGTCATAGTGTTAGGAATTTGCCAACTCTAAGGATTGCTCAAGTGGAATAAGCATGTTCAAGTGGAATATGCTTTGTATACAAAGCAAACAAGAATAGTCCTATTAAATATCTCTGTACAGCTTAATAAAAAGATGAAAAATGTAGGGTGATACATTTGGGGGAAAGGTATTAGAAGTTTTCAGAGTTTCACTTCATTTTCTAATAGAAGAATGAAGATTTTGAATTCCATTTTTATAAAGATCAGTTTTTGACCTAGGGCGAATGATATAAATCTTCATTGCTTTGGGACTTCTATTTCTCAATTAGACTTTATAAGGACTTAGACATTGAAATAATGACTTATGTTAAATCTTCAGCAAATGCATAGCAAATGTTGCATAAACTACTGTGTCCAATAGTATAGGGACTGGCTGTCAGAATTTATAAAGTAAGCTGTTAATAAGCCAATAATTTTCTTGTCTGATTGACATGTCCATCATAATTCAGTTATCTAAGGAAACAGACCACGTGGGATGCATAATCTCACTGACAAAGAGGAGGAGTTGGGGGCTAAGCATAGCACACAGGTTTCCCTTTGACTCTCTACTTGACCTTATATTTAATAGAAAGGGCTTTAAACCAACATAGTTGTGAAACATATTGCTGCTGCCTACCAACACGGAGATAAAGGAAGTTTATATGAATCAATGGATTGTTTTATCCTGATTAATATGATTATTAAAACATTATCAAATGGACATTCAGTAGTAATAGCAAACCCATGCAGCAATAGCTATTTCCTTTGGGCTTTCAGCAAGTATTTAATATTTAATATCCCTGCTGTAGTGCTTATCACAATTTATTATCACTATTTCATTGTGCATACTCTCTACCCAAGGAGAGGTCCTTGAGGTCAGGGACATATCCCTTTTGGTAGTCCTGTCATCTGACACAGTATCTAGTATGCAGTAATTGCTCATTTAACATTGAATGAAAGAAGAGCGAAAATAAGAACTACAGAGCAAGATTACTTGAGGTTTTTTGTTGTTGTTAACCCGAATATTAAATAATGCCAGATTTTTATTGAAGGGGAACAGAAATCTGTCTGTGCATCATTGATTTTCTAGTTTCGGTACTTATGTCAAAATACTAGGTGAAAAGTTGATTGCCAGAGTAAATTTTGTTTCGTGCAAGTTAGAAAGGAAATAACCATTCTGTAGAAAGCCTGCTTTATCAACATTTCTAAGCGAACTTGTAGGGCAAAGTGACCGGGTATATTTAGATAAATTTTTGGCAGGCATACCAACTATTGAAGGTTTACCCTGACTATCATTTCTTAATACTGTGTAGAAACATTGGATCTGGTATACTTATGATTCCCCAAATTTTAGCTACATCACTAGAGGAAGGTCGGAGTCAGTGGATCCCAAGTATGTGAGTACAATGTGCAGAAGCTTACAGAAAATATAAAATTATAGTTCAACCTTCAAAAATTATAGTTTTGAAGAGTCAGCAGTGGAACACAAAGCTAGCATTTGACTCAAAGTCCCAATTTCTTATCTTCATACTCAAGAAACTTAACGTTTTCACCAAGTCCCACTTACTGCATGCTATCTCGTCATTCTTTCCCTTATGAAGACTCACATTCTCAAGCCAAATTATTCTCTGTCCCCTTAAACTTCCACCCTTATGGTCGTTTCTGTTTTATCTGCTTGGTACTGTCTTCTTTAATATTTCTACATGGCCAACTTCTTCTATTCCTTTGTAAAATGTAAATTGGATGCTCCTATTTTGCTACTTGCCTCAGTATAAAAAATTTTGATGCCTTCTGAATACCCTAATTACTTGCACAGTGTTCAACAATGCACAGTTACTACCTATTTAATCCCCAGCACTTCTTCCTGTTCAGGTAGCAAACCCTTTGAGACAAGTAGTAGCTACTTTTAAATCATCTCATTGCCTCCCAAAGTGGGGTTTTTTAAAATGTGGTTGATGTAAGGAAATGTATATAAATATATATTTATATTAGTGTATATATAATAGAATATAAATATTTATGGAATGAATAAATATTTAAAAACTAAGATGGAATGTGAAAAGTATAGGAAATAGAACTGTAAGGTAACACAATAATTAGGATCCCAGATACAAATATATAATGGTTGCTGTATCTCAGTAACACAGAAAAGTTATGTAATGAAGATGACAATGAGTGAAGATCAGGAGAGGTTTGCTCATCTTACATCTGGGAATGAATAAGGGTGCCCCGAAAAGCTGTATGGAAAAGGTAAGTTTTCTGCTGGCTTTTAAAGCAGACAAGCATTGTTTATTATACTTATATGGAATACTTACCACCATCGGAGGTTATACAAACTTTTAAACTAATTGTATTAGGTAGATTTCAGATTATCAACAGCTTTACTATGCAAAGGACTAACTTGATTGGCAGATTTAATTTTTTAGAATAATCAGTTTTCCTGAAGACAGAATTCCTTCCTTGTTTCTGTTACTGTATTTAGTGACCAACTCCTGCTGAGAATTACAACCTTCTCATTACATATATTTCTATGAGTATGAGTTCATTCATTTAAGCAGTTTTGTGATAGTGAACTTTTTTACTATAATATGTTGAATGCTTATGGATCTAAAATAAACCAAATTTTAGAGATCTAACCAAAGTTATTTTTAGAAAAGAAAAATATTATAAATGTAAAATAGTTGCATTGTATTTTTATAGCTATGCTTTCTGCCAAATCACTAAGATATATTAATTTTTTAAAAGGGAAGTGTGGTTATAACAAACAAGAAATGCCAGCAACTTAAAAATAACTTTTTTAGTAACAGAAAACCCAGGTCTCTTTAACCAACATTATAGGGGTTAGAAAAGGAATGCCAGTTATGCACTAAGGTTTACATATTTTCAAATGTAGCAGTAAAGATGAATGCTATTAATAATTATATGTTATCTTGTGCCATCAGAAAGAAAATAAATGTCTTATAAAAACCATGCTAAAAACACATACAAATTTTATGCTATTTTCACAATGCTCAATTGTATCTTTTTTTTTTTTTAGTGAAGCCTTAAGACTGCATATTTAAAGTAATGAAGTTTGGTAATTTATCTAAATAACTTAGTTCTTAATCATCCAGAAAGTAATGGTAAAATATTTAATATATTTATGTGAAGTGGCTAGGCAATTTTAAGTCTATAAATCTAATGCTATACAGATGTTACTATATCTATTCTATTAAATATAAATCTATTTATATGCAACAAAAAATAAGTTTAACATTGACCATTACATAGAAAACACCATTATATAATAAATAGGCAGCCAGGATACTTCATGTATAAAAATCCATGAAATTTGTTAAGCTATTGGATATTTTTTCTCACACTAATCAGATACTTATTTAAGTAGCTTATTTTGTGTAATTTTTTTAAGAATGGTCCTCTGAGTCCAGTGTGAAGTCAGGTTCATTTGACAATATAATAATTGGATTTGCTTATTATGTTCCTGGTCATTCCTGCCACAGTAGACTCCTTTGTACAAGCAACATTAATCATTTAAAAAAGCTGAAAGTTAGAAAGTTAATTAAAGGATTTATTACAGACTCTTAATTTGTCCTAATGAATTGAACCACCATGAAACTTTATTAATTGCAGTTGAGGAGTAACACCTGGATATTTTTCCTCATGCCTTTGGTCTAATAAAATCTGTTATCTCTGATTAAATATGTCAGTTTCTTTGAATTATGAAAGAAGGAAAATGGGATTTTATTCATACAGAAGGTGGAGAAAAGTGGGACAAGGAGCTCAGCAGGTGATATTTCAGCTTTAATTCTAAGTCACAAGACCATGAAGAATGATGTGAACTTGAGAAGCATACACCTTAACTCACCCTGTATAGAAATACATGGTATTTGTGCCAAATTAAAATCCATATGGTTATTTTTTTAAAAATCTTCCATATTATCTACATGTAGGGGATAATTTTCCTTAAATTTCAAATTTGATATATTGAATGACCACATATGCTTTGAAAAAATGAAACCAAGAAAAGGAAACTCTTTACATCATGAAGAGATATAAAAATTATTTGCCTCAATTAGATTTAGTAGGACAATGAAATGTGAGAGCCTGGGGAACATTGCATGGTCCTGAATTTGCTGTATATAGTTTATATGATAAAATGAAAAGTAGACTCTGATGTTTCTGGGGTGAATTCAGAGCTCTGAAGTTTAACGAGTATTTAGAATAAAAATCGCATTCTTTCAAACAGAGAGAGTAAAGGAGTGGATTGAAGCATGGGGCCATTAACTCAGCCTTTACTTCTCAGAGCCTGGGAGAGTCTGATGATATGTATTCAGACATCCGTGTAAGAACACGTGAGGTGGTGAAGCAACACAACAGGCATACATCAGACTCTGACGCACAATCATATTGAGACCTGGGCATATTAAAAATGTGTAGAAGTCATTATTCACCTTTCTGTATTGTGCCTACTCAAATATCTACCCATCCATCTATCCACGTATCCAACAAGTGTCTCTACTACAACCACGGGCCATGAAGAAAGAGGCCTCTGAAATTCTGGAATATCAGATATCAGGCTAAGTCTCCTATTTGCAGGGTGACTTCCTAGACCTGTGGGAAAATACACACACACACACACACACACACACACACACACACACACACACACACACACACACACATATATATAGACAGAGTCTCGCTCTGTTGTTCAGGCTGGAGTGCAGTGGTCCGATCTCGGCTCACTGCAAACTCCGCCCCGCCTCCCCCACCCCCGCCCCCGCCCCAGTTCAAGCCATTCTCCTGCCTCAGCCTCCTGAGTAGCTGGGATTACAGGAGCGCGCCACCATGCCTGGCTAATTTTTTGTATTTTAGTAGAGACGGGGTTTCACCATGATGGTCAGGCTGGTCTCAAAAACACCTGACCTCGTGATCCACCTGCCTCAGCCTCCCAAAGTGCTGGGATTACAGGCGTAAGCCACCACACCCAGCCGGGAAAATATATTTTCAATACAAGGTGGGAATTGCAAAGAATACTAACTTCTGGGATATAGCCTAAGTGAGCAGAGGGATTATTTTGAGTTGGAAATAAGTAGGAAACTGTTTAATGGTTGGAGAAGAGGGATGCTTTTTATTGAGTGAAATGTATCCATTGGGTGCTTTATTGGCAGTAAAACATGAGTAATAATTCTTACCAGCAATATGGTCATTAGTGTTAAAAGAGATCGTGTGTGCAGACTAGGTAGGACTAGCCAACACGATGCCAGAAGAAGTAGGGAGTCAGACGAGAATGGACTAATGCCCAGGGTGGGTTATGTAATCCCCTGACTCCCTGCTGCTGCATCCTCTGCAACCCTTTACTTGCTCCCAACCTCGTCACAATGCTGTTTTGCATAGAGCTATTGCAAAACGTGATTATTAAATTCTTTATTCAGGTACATAAGTTTCAATACATAGTGATTAAACATCTACTCTATGCTTGTTGGGAACATGTATATCTTCTTTTGAAAAGTGTCTGTTTATGTCCTTTGTCCTCTTTTTAATGGGGATGTATTTCTTTCGTAAATTTAAGTTCCCTATAGATGCTGGATGTTAGACCTTTTTCAGACACATTGTTTACAAATATTTTCTCCCATTCTGTAGGTTTTCTGTTTACTCTGTTGATAGTTTATTTCGGCATGCAGAAGCTCTTAAGTTGAATTAGATCCCATTTGTCAATTTTTGCTTTTGTTGCGATTACTTTTGGTGTCTTTATCATAAAATCTACCACAAAGACAAATGCACATGAATGTTCATTGCAGCACTGTTCACCATAGCAAAGACATGGAATCAATCTAATGCTCATCAAGAATAGATTGGATAAAGAAAATATGGTACACATACACCATGGAATACTATGCAGACATAACAAGGAATGAGATCATGTCCTTTGCAGGGACATGGATGGAGGTGGGAGCCATTATCTTCAGCAAACAAACACGGGAACAGAAAACCAAATACCACATGTTCTCACTTATAAGTGGGAGCTAAATGATGAGAACACATGAACACAAAGAAGGGAACAACAGACACTGAGGACTACTCGAAGGTGGAGGGTGGGAGGAGGGAGAGGAGCAGAAAAAAATAACTATTGGGTACTAGGCTTAGTACGTGGGTGATGAAATAATCTGTACAACAAACCCCTATGACATGCATTTACCTTTGTAACAAACCTGCACATGTACCCTCTGAAACTAAAATAAATGTTAAAAAATAAAAAGTAAAAATAAATAAACACTGACTGTATTTTAAGCTGTAGGAACACTAAGACGAATGAATGAGACATTGTTTCTACCCTCCCCAAATGACAGACTCGGAACTTATTCTGTAGATGTGCAGCCTGGGGTGAGAATGTGGATGAGGGATGAACAAAGAGGGCACAGAAGCTAGGGGAGGCAGTTGTGGAGCACAGTATTATATTCTATGATATTCCATGTATATACAGGTGAAACTGATATCTCTAGGTGGCTGTTGACTGAAATGCAAAGTTTAACAAACTCTACATGCAATATATTCTCTTTTTTTCTAAAAGAACTCACTTATTTAGGAGCACAGTTTCTTCTCAGGTAGATGGGTGGAGCTCTTTTTGCGTCCTTACAACTCTCAGAAAAGAAAATTCTCAAGCCACCCTAATCATTAGGCTTTGCTTATGAATGAAAAAAAATGAGATGATAAATAAATGAATTATCTAACTGACAAAAGCCTTTTAGCCATTTCAGATATTCATTTAGAATTACCTGATATGAGACTTCAACAGCCATTTTTGGTGCCAGCGTTATATATTACACACAAACACACACACACAAATCATACACACACCCCCACACACCCACACATCATATATACATACATAAGTGAACTGCCTCTCTACGTGTATATGCATGTACATACACATATGTGTGCTTGTGAATGGTTATATATATGAAACCAGAAATTAGAAAAGTGATTCCTCTAAAATCTAATTAAGGACAATCCATGGGGTTCAATTGTAAAGCCCTGGAGAAAAAAAAAAGAGAGAGAGAGAAGAAATGTAAGCAATTTCACTTGATCTTGACCTTGAGTGTAATTATTTCTTATGATATGTGAACACGTGAGTACAAATTATTTTACAGATCAAGCAAGAGGAGAAAAGAATAAGAGTTATGGACTAACCTGAGGAAATATATGGTGTGTAGATGGAGCAGGGAAAATATGAGGACATCAATTGAGTAGGAAAATGCCAACATCGATGGGGATTGGGCAGGATGAAGTGTGTTGCAGGATCGCAGCCACTAATCAAGGATACAGTCCCTGGTGACTTGCTTTTCTTCCCTGTCGAATTTCTGCAAGAAGAGGAAGTTTCAATAACTCAAATCCATACAGCTCATCACTGCTTCCTTTCAGACAGGAAATAATCTGGGTAAAAAGGATCCTGAAACACTGGCCTCCTCGATGCTTGCAGAGAATCACTGGCCTCTCCTATTCTGTGATTTGGATGTGACTAGGAGTAATAAAATGGATTTAGTGTGCAAATGCCTCCATCAGCTTCTCCCTTTTTCCCATAGGAGTATTATCAAAAGTTCTTAAATTCTTTTAAATATATAATAAAAATTGTTTTTGTAAATCAGCATAGGTCTTTACTATTCTGGTGCAGGTTTTCCTTCTCATATTCTCAACTCCTGCTTACCCTTAGAGATAAGGAAGACTACTTTGACACTGAATTCTTTTTTCATTGGTTTTATATATTAAATTTGTCTCTTCAAATAGATTATAAGCAGCTTGAAGCTCAGAATCATTTCCTAAGTTTGGCAACCGATTACTGAACATTCTCAGCTTCTCATGTCTTGTACTTGGCATTACGGCAGAGGCTCCTCAAATAAATAAGATGCTGCTGTAGTTCTCATAATGCCTACCTATATTGATTCTCTTTTGCTAGTTATTTTACAAATGTATTAGAAAAAATTATTTGGTTAATTGCTAGCCCACCTATATTGTGGATCAGTAGTCAGTATTTGATGAATCTTAATAAAACATATTTTAAAGAAACTACCCAGATAAGCGATAATAATAAACTGGGTGTCCTTATCTCTTGAGATATTATAAATAAGTCTTCACTGTTTGATTTCCTTTGACACCAACTAAGAGTTCCTGATTCTGAGCAAATGAATAATTATTTCTATATTTTGTATGAAGCCTTGCCCTTCTTACAGCAGTATTTTCTCCCTAAATTAAATGATGAGTTTTGCAGGTGTCTTTTATTTTTTCTAGAAAGGATATAAATTCTAATATGATGTATACATTCATCAGAAACAAAATTATTGTTTGTAGATACCATATTTTCTTTAGGCACTCCTCCATCAATGAACTTTTAAGTTACTTCAGTGTCTTGGCTATTGTGAATAATGCTGTGATGACTGTGGGAGTGCAGATATCATTTTAATATTCTGCTTTCAATTCCTTTGGAGATTATATGTATATACATATATATCCAGAAGTGAGTTCGCTGAATCATAGGGTGGTTGTTTTTCAGTTTTTGAGGACCCTCTATAATGTTTTCTATAGCAGCTGCACCACTTTCCCACCAATGATGTACAAGAGTCCACTTTTCTCTAAATCCTTGTCAACACTTGCTGTCTTTTGTTATTGTTTGTTTTTCATAATAGCCATTATAATGGGTATGAGGTGATACCTCATTGTGGTTTTGGTTTGCATTCCCTGGATGATTAGTGATGTTGACGATCTCTTCGTATACCTGTTGGCCATTTGTATGTTTGGAGAAATATCTATTGAAGTCCTTTTCGCATTTCTTAATTGGGCTATTTGGTTTTTTGCCGTTCAGTTGTAGGAGCTCCTTATGTATTTTAAATATTAATTACTTATTAAATATAAGGTTTGTAAATATTTTCTCTCATTCCATAGTTTGTTTCTTCATTCTGCTGATTGTTTCCTTTGCTGTGCAGAAGCTTTTTAGTTTGATGGAGTCTCATGTGTGTATGTTTGCTTTTGTCAACTATGCTTGCTTTTGTCAACTATGCTTTTGGGGTCGCATGCAAGAAATCATTGCCAACATCAGTGTCAAAAAACTTTTTTCTATGTTTTCTTCTTAATATTTTCATTTCAGGTTTCAAGTTTTAGTCTTCAATTGATTTTGAGTTGATTTGTGTGTATAGTGTGAGATAAGGATCCAATTTCATTCTTTTGCATGTGAATATTCAGTTTTTCAATACCGTTCACTGAAGACATTGCTTTCCCCATTGATATTCTTGGTGTCCTTGTTGAAGACGAGTTGAGCATATACGTATGGTTTTATTTCTGGACTCTCTATTCAGTTTCATTGGTCTATATGTCTGCTTTTTATATGCAATAAAATATGATCCAGCTTTAATAAAGCAGAAAATTCTGCCATTTTCTTTTTTTTGTTTTGTTTTTGTTGTTGTTGTTGTTTTAGTATTTATTGATCATTCTTGGGTGTTTCTCGGAGAGGGGGATTTGGCAGGGTCATAGGACAATAGTGGAGGGAAGGTCAGCAGATAAACATGTGAACAAGGGTCTCTGGTTTTCCTAGACAGAGGACCCTGCGGCCTTCCGCAGTGTTTGTGTCCCTGGGTACTTGAGATTAGGGAGTGGTGATGACTCTTAAGGAGCATGCTGCCTTCAAGCATCTGTTTAACAAAGCACATCTTGCACCGCCCTTAATCCATTTAACCCTGAGTGGACACAGCACATGTTTCAGAGAGCACGGGGTTGGGGGTAAGGTTATAGATTAACAGCATCCCAAGGCAGAAGAATTTTTCTTAGTATAGAACAAAATGGATTCTCCTATGTCTACTTCTTTCTACACAGACACAGTAACAATCTGATTTCTCTTTCTTTTCCCCACATTTCCCCCTTTTCTATTCGACAAAACCGCCATCGTCATCATGGCCCGTTCTCAATGAGCTGTTGGGTACACCCCCCAGACGGGGTGGCGGCCGGGCAGAGGGGCTCCTCACTTCCCAGGCCGGGCGGCCGGGCAGAGGCGCCCCTCACCTCCCGGACGGGGCAGCTGCTGCCCCCCACCTCCCTCCCGGAAGGGGCGGCTGGCGGGGCGGGGGCTGCCCCCCACCTCCCTCTGCGACGGGGCGGCTGCCCCGGCGGGGGTTGCCCCCCACCTCCCAGACGGGGCGGCTGCCGGGCAGAGGGGCTCCTCACTTCCCAGGCCGGGCGGCCGGGCAGAGGGGCCCCCCACCTCCCGGACGGGGCGGCTGCTGCCCCCCACCTCCCTCCCGGAAGGGGCGGCTGGCGGGGCGGGGGCTGCCCCCCACCTCCCTCCGGGACGGGGCGGCTGCCGGGCGGAGGGGCTCCTCACTTCCCAGACGGGGCGGCCGGGCAGAGACGCTCCTCACCTCCCAGACGGGGTGACGGTCGGGCAGAGACACTCCTCAGTTCCCAGACGGGGTCGCGACCGGGCAGAGGCGCTCCTCACATCCCAGACGGGGCGGCGGGGCAGAGGCGCTCCCCACATCTCAGACGATGGGCGGCCGGGCAGAGACGCTGGTCACTTCCCAGACGGGATGGCGGCCGGGAAGAGGCGCTCCTCACTTCCCAGACGATAGGCGGCCAGGCAGAGACGCTCCTCACTTCCCAGATGGGGTGGCAGCCGGGCAGAAGCTGCAATCTCAGCACTTTGGGAGGCCAAGGCAGGCGGCTGGGAGGTGGAGGTTGTAGCGAGCCGAGATCACGCCACTGCACTCCAGCAAAAACCAGTCAGGCATGGCGGCGCGCGCCTGCAATCCCAGGCAGGCTGAGGCAGGAGAATCAGGCAGGGAGGTTGCAGTGAGCGGAGATGGCGGCAGTACAGTCCAGCCTTGGCTCGGCAACAGAAGGAGACCGTGGAGAGAGAGGGAGAGGGAGAGGGAGACCGTGGAGAGAGAGGGAGAGGGAGAGGGAGACCGTGGAGAGAGAGCGAGAGGGAGAGGGAGACCGTGGAGAGAGAGGGAGAGGGAGAGGGAGACCGTGGAGAGAGAGGGAGAGAGAGAGGGAGAGGGAGAGGGAGAGGGAGAGGGAGAGGGAGAGCTGAACTTTGAAAACAGAAAGTAACTGCCAAAAGGGATTATTTAGGGCACAGATTCCCCCCTTTCATTATCCTTTAGGTCCTCAATGGTGAGGGCAGGGGACAGGAGAGGAATTCTGCCGTTTTCAGTAACATGAATGAACCTGGAGTACATTCATCAAGTGAAATAATTGAGAGCCAGAAAACAAATAATAACTGATGCCACTTATGTGAGGAATCGAAAATAGTCAAACTTACAGAAGCAGAGCAGGAAATGGTGGTTGTCAGGGGTTGGGGAGAATGTCAAGGGGCACAAAGTTTCAGCTATGCAAGATGCCTGAGACCTAGACATCGACTCTATAGCACAGTGTTTATAGTTAACAATACTGTATTGTATACTAAAATTTTTTTTATGAGGGTAGATCTTATGTTAAGTGTCATCACAAAAAAAATAGTAATATTAAATAAAGACAGTGTTGGGTGCGATGACTCATGCCTATAATCCCAGCACTTTGGGAGGCTGAGGCGGAGGGATCACATGAGGTCAGGAGTTTGAGATTAGCCTGGCCAACCTGGTGAAACCCCGTCTCTACTAATAATACAAAAATTATCCAGGTGTGGTGGTGCATGCCAGTAATTCCAGCTACTCAGGAGGCTGAGGCAGGAGAATTGCTTGAACCTGGGAGGAAGAGGTTGCAGTGAGCCGAGATCGTGCACTCCAGCCTGGGCGACAAGAGTGAAACTCCATTTCAATAAATAAATAAATAAATAAACTTTGGGAGGTAATGGATACGCTTATTGCATAGATTGTGGTGATAGTTTAATGAGTGTCTACTTTTCCCCGAGCTCATCAAGTTGTGTTCATTAAATATGTACAGCATTTTGTGTGTCAATCATACATCAATACAGTTGTTTGAAAAAGGAAACAAAACAATCTTTAAGCTGACTATCAAGTTTCCAAATCCATTTATCTATTGGAAATTATCCCAATTAATTAACTAAAGAGTTGGCAGATTAAGAAGAAAAGCTACTCAATGTTAGCTGGAGCTGTTTTCTTGGAAAGCAGTTAAACTGTTTCTATCTAATGAAGGGAATCGTCTTGATCTTAACCATATCATTTTTTCCCTCGGTCTCTCTTAGAGTTTCACACTTGTTCTCCAGCTATCTTTTATGGTCCAAGGTCAAGGGCCAATTTTCAGGACAATGTTCCATGTCATGACCCATCAACCACCACCACCACCACCACCTTCTCCTGAAATCAGAGTAGTTCAGGTAGTCCTAGTTAATTGATTTGATGAATATCTTTGCATTGCCAAAATGTAATCAGTGCTTGGCATTTAGCAGGTGAAACCTAGAGGTTAGCTGAGTTCTTCCCAGTGGAAATCTATTTGAATCAGATTCAACCTCCCATTACGTAGCCTGGGAGGATATATACTTTAAACCAAAGCTCTCCAGGAATTTTTCTTGTTATAAGGGGAACAGTTCACCTGCCTGGCTTCTGTAGCCATGGATACTCTCTCAGTTTTTATCCTGTGCTCTTTTAGGGGCAAAACCCTGCCTTCTCACCAGTCTCTACCAGAAGTTATTCAAATTAAACGTCTTATTGTTTTCATACTTTAATTGAAGATATGGACAGTCACAAAATGGGTTTCTTTGCACACCCACCATAGCCACTTGTAACTACAAAGATGTTCTTCTCTTCGTTCTTTTTCCTACTCCGGATCAAGTAAGTTTCTATCCTCATTTAGTACTTTCCTTGTCTGAAAAATTGGTACTAGCTAATAACTACATTTTAAAGTGCTATCTGTCACAGCACAGAAGAACGATTATGTAGTATTCTGGATAATAGCATAGACTTGGATCCAGATTGTTTTAATTTAAGTCCAGAGCCTGTCATTTACTTGCTGTGTGACATTGGGTAGTCTGCTTAACCTCTCTGTGTCTCACCTGTAAAACAACTTCAGGGGTTGTCAGGAAGATTAAATGGATTAACGTACATATAATGCATATGATAGCATCTGGCTTACAATAAGTGCCACAAAAGTATTTACTATTATTACTGCTATTAACATAAACAGACTTATTAAAGTGTCTTCCAAACTCAAATAGTTGAATTAAAAGGGAATCTAATGCAAGCTGCTAAGAAAATATTTTTTCTGAATGTCAACTATAGAAATTCAAAACATACTTAATGAATAACTAGCTATTACTAACTGGCTTATAATATGCCTTGACTGAAAATGATGAGGCGTCTGTCATTAGACAGTTTTAAGATATTTATGAACTGACACTGATGAGATTTGGTCTCATTTCATCATTTATGGCATATTATCTCATTTATTTGTGGTGTGTGTGTGTGTGTGTGTTATATGTAACCAAATGCATTTTTCTCTAGAGTGCATTTACCTGAATATATCTTCCCTGCATATTTTTCTTTTTATGTTTATTACAACCCTGCAAATACTTAGGACATGTGCTAACTTTCACTAGAACCACATGGACACTGATATTAATAATGTGTCCATAGTCACAAATCCACATTGGTAATAGGGCTGTGGGCAAAACCTATTTCCAAGGGACTCCACGACTAATTAATATATATGTGTGTGTGTGTGTGTGTGTGTGTGTGTGTGTGTGTATTTGAGATGGAGTCTCACTCTTGTCGCAAAGGCTGGAGTGTAGCGGCGTGATCTCGGCACTCTGCAACCTCCACCTCCTGTGTTCAAGTGATTCTTCTTCCTCAGCCTCTTGAGTAGCTGGGATTACAGGCATGCACCACCACACCTGGCAAATTTTTGTATTTTTAGTAGAGACAGGGTTTTGCCATGTTGGACAGGCTGATCTTGAACTCCTGACCTCAGGTGATCCACTCACGTCGGCCTCCCAAAGTGCTAGGATTACAGGCGTTAGTCACTGCACCTGGCCTTCACGTCTAATTTTTAAAATAAGATCATGCTTCTAGCCAGTTCCTGTCTTTTGTCTATGACTCTAAGAAAGGAATATTAAGCATGTCACAAAGAATAGAATGTGTTTTACTCATAGAGTAATGCTATTGGAGTACGTAACAGAGAATATAAATTTGGTGTAATTTTTAATAGGGCTATTAAAATCATTTAAAGTAATATTTTATCTTATTAAAATCTCAAAATACATACTTTATCAAAATAAAAAATAAACTTTCTTTGACCCGGCAATCAAGTATAGTGAAATCTTTATGCAAAGTGATCTTCATTGCAGCTTTGATTTTAAGAGCAAAAGGCAATGTTATGTAGCTATTCAAAAGAATGTAACAGATCTGTAGGAAGTAACACAGAGATTTACTGATAATATGCTGAGCAAAAATGATTTCTGCAGAACAGCATGTACAGTATTATTTTATAGTTTTAAAAAGAATAAAAAGTATGTAAAATACACATGAATATTTATGTAGGGGAGTGAGGGAGGGTAAGCATCTGTGTGAAGGTTCATGCCTAACCTTTAAACACAGAGACTATCCAGAAACGGGTTAACTATAGAAGAGAGGGGAAGTAGAACACTTTACTTTTTTTGTTAACGTGCTTTACGGTATTTGAATTTTCAAAAATAAGCATGTATTAATTTTATAATCAAACATAAAGCTTCAAGCACACACTATGTTAAATGTGTTTGATAAATCCAGTGTTCAGGGTTATAATGCTTGCTTAGACTAACTGGTTTCACATGGGTACCTGTGACCAGCGTAAGGTCATTGCTAGGCAAAAACACTGTAATTTCTAGAAACAAATAGAACGTTCTACATACAACAAAAAATGTAAGTCATAGCATTTTGGAGATAATGCTGAATCTCATCAGGCACAGTCAACCAAAACCAGGTTCATTTCATTCTCAGAATTTCATCTACATTTGCCAGAGATTTTAAATTGAATAATGGACTGACTGTGCGTGAATGAAATGCATGCATTTCTTTTATATTTCTGAAATAGCAATACAGGCTGAGACCCCAGCGGGGGAGCAGGGGAGCTGGGGGTCTGGGCGACAGTAGAGGAATGGTGTTGTGTGAGATAGGGACTTAATGAGATAAGGGAATATGTATTTTTGTGAGGGGAAAAAACTTCATAACATTTTTCATATGAAACATACACAAGAATAATGGAATAGATTATATCTTATGAAATGTGGCCTACAGTAAGTTACTGTTGCATGTCTTCCTTCCATAGAAAAGGAATGAATTGGAGACATTCACTTATAATGAAAATTGTCTGTATTTTTCTCAATTGAGAGAGTTCATTGAGACTTCATAGAATAGTTTTATTACATATTACATAGGAAGGAAAAAACACAATTTTTTTGTTCCAATAACAACCTTTTATCTAGCTCGACAATGCACTTCCACGGCAGCTGGATCAAAAAAAAAGAGACTGCTGCAATTCAGAGTCAAAGTGGAGTTTCTTTTCGAAGTGGTCATCAACAGCTTTTAGCAAATGAAGGAAGGGCATATCTTTCCGGGGAAAATGAAGCACCCCTTTCTTTGGCCCAAATGATGGTGAAGCTTCTTTTGTTTATTGGTGATGTTTTTTTTTTTCTTTTGGTTTTTGTTTGCTGGTTTTTGTTTTTTGTTTTTTGTTTTTTTCCCAACCGTTCGTTAAAAAGAAGAAAATGAGAGAGAGGACAAAAATGTGAACGTTATGCTATTTAGTGGTCATGCTCTAGAGGTTTTGAAAAAATAGCCATCAGCAGATGCATCAAGATATGACAGGGTTGCACATTAACTATTTTCCTGTCATACCAAGAATTCTGGAATCTTGTATTTTATTGCAAGCTGTCATCTCACCCACATTTTCAAGGTGACCTCAAGTCTTCTAGGTTCTCCTTCTCAAACAATTCTCATGTTTCTAGATTTGAGCTCTTCTAAACACCTCTGAGTATGACCTGAAAAAGTTATTTCTCCTTAAAATATGTCCGACAACTTCTCCTATGACTACCCTTTTTAAACATTCAAAATGACAGTATTTCCACTAAAACCACCTCTTTAACTGATGTTCGAACTTGGATGTGGATACTCCTTTTGTAACATGGACGTATAGTAGATATCAGTGTGTCTGCTGCTTCTGTTTGTTGCTAAGGTTCATAGGGCATGTTCTCTTTTCCAATACTTTTTCCTGAAATACATTTTGTGATTTTTGTCATTGTTCCTTTGTCCAGGGATTCTTTAGGACAATTGTTTAAAATCTAAGCAGTTAAAGCCCGACATTTTGGCTCACGCCTATAATCCCAGCACTTTGGGAAGCCAAGGTGGGTGGATCACTTGAGGTCAGGAGTTCGAGACCAGCCTGGCCAACATGGTGAAATCCAATCTCTACTAAAAATACAAAAATTAGCTGGGCATGGTGCCACATGCCTGAATCCCAGCTACTTGGGAGGCTGAGGCAGGAGAATCACTTGAACCTAGGAGGCAGAGTTTGCAGTGAGCCAAGATCATGCCACTGCACTCCAGCCTGGGCAACAGAGCAAGACTCCATCTCAAATGATAATAATAACAATAATAATAATAATAATATCTAAGCAGCTAAGAAGTTTTAATTTATTTTTGTTGTTTATTTCTGATATCTGGAATTTTATTCAGATTATGTGGGTGGTACGTCTGTACATTTTTAGAATGTATTGAAGTTATCTTTGAACCTAAGCCTATGAACAACTCTTGCAAATCTTCCATTGCTCTAAAAAAATACAAACTCCTTCTTTGGTTTTAAGTTTTATATGTAAATATTTATTATATCAAGCTTGTTGGTGATATTATTTAAATCTTATTTGACCTTACTTATGTTTTTAAATCTGTTTATTAATAAAGAAACACATTGAAGCTTCTTCTTCTAGTATTATTATTATTATTATTATTATTATTATTATTATTATTATTTTCTTTAATTTTTACTTTAAGGATACACATGCAGGATGTGCGGGTTTGTTACACAGGTAAATGTGAGCCATGGTGGTTTACTGCACAGATCATCCCATCACCTAGGTATTAAGCCTAGCATCCATTAGCTATTCTTTCTGATGCTCTCTCTCCCCCAACACACCCCAGACAGAGCCCAGTGTGTGTTGTTCCCCACCATGTGTCCATGTGTTCTCATCATTCAGTCCCCACTTATAAGTGTGAATATGTGGTGTTTGGTTTTCTGTTCCTGTGTTAGTTTGCTGAGGATAAGGGCTCCTACATCCATCCATGTCCCTGCGAAGGACATGATTCCATTCCTTTTTATGGCTGCATAGTATTCCATGGTATAGATGTCCCACATTTTATTTATCCAGTATATCATTTTAGAGTTAAATTCTCCATCAATCTCAAGATGATTTTCCACATCTATTTTGCTTTATGTTGTTTGATACATAAAATGTGTGCCATTTAGTGACTTTGTGGTCATGGTGAGTGGTAGTGATTATTATATGTGATGAGTTTCTTGGTCCTGCTTGATGTTTCGGGCATACATTCTGCCACTGGACTTTTAATTTTCTGCCACTGAATGAGTCTCTTTATTTACATTTATTAATATAACCTATTCCAATCCTTACTTAAAACTTTGGGGGTCTGGGACTTGAACTGCAGATAAGTGGCTTAATTATAACCTTGGTTCATGACACACCGATATTACCCATTCTAAAGCAAAACAAAACAAACAACAACAACCAAAAAAGCCTTACTAAAGCAAAAAGAACCTGAAAAATTACCCAGCAAATGATTCCCCAGATTCTGAGTTCACTTTCTTTTTCTCACACTCCTCTTTCTCCTCTTACTCTTCATGGTTCTCCTTCACACTGCTTCTCTTTCCCCCAAAGATTTCCATCTCTTTTGTCTCTATGTTTTGGCTTTGTGTTGTGAGGATTTATTTTACTTTCTCTTGTAGGCCACCAACTTGACAATGATATTGTATCAGTTCCTCTATTACACTTTCAAATTTTTAAATTTCTTTTTACCTTTCCAGGAGGTTTTGTTTTTGTTTTTGCATGTGATCTAAGTCTATCCACTCGAGCTGTCTCATTTCCGGTTTTCTTGGTCAAAAGTATCTGACTCTTCAATTCATTCTCCTTCTGTTGGATCTACCAGCTGCCCCAGGTGACAGAGACCCTTAAGTATGTTGCTGTTTTCCTTTGTCTATTCACTGTTTTCTGCTCCTCCACCACCCACAGACATCAGGTTGCTTGTGTTTCCAGGAAGTGGACCCTTGTGGAGTGGTAGAAAGCTAACAGTTCTGTTCTCTGTAGACCGATGAAGCACTTCCTGGTGAAACATTTCTGCTGTTGGAATGAAGTTCCCAGTTTATCCTAGATCAAGCCTGTGCCTTCTGCTTTTTTTTTTTTTTTTTAATTTTAAAGGTAGAGGTCAGTTTACCACTCTAGTTTTTCTGTAGTTCCATGGAGATTAAAGTGATCCTAGAATCACCCCCAGGACAGGACACAACTACTGGACACATGAGGCCTTTACCTAAGGACACCAGAGATTCTGTAGGTAGCCATCAAATCCCAGAGAGGGAAGCCATCTTGCTGCCCAGGATGATTCGCCAAGAGGCCAGTTGAAAAGGTCACAGTGTTCCTAGGAAGATCACGCAAAACCTGAGATCTTAGTTGGGAAGGCTAAATGACAGTCTGTTTTCATGACACAAAAGGAAAATATCACTAAATAATACTATGGCCTTCCTCTCATGCCAACTCAGAAGGCATTTTCATTCCCATCTCTAGGCCTTTCCAGATCTGGTCTCCTATGAATACAAACTCTCTTTATATTTTATCTCTGACTTATAATGCAAGCTCCTTAAGGCCAAGAGTGTTTTATCTTTGACTATGTTATGTACAAGACTGATCACAGATCTAGAGCTAATTGGTGGTTTTATATCATCATGATCATTACTATATTAAGTGTAGGTGTATATTAACCTGACAATTCAAATTTATAGGCTAGATAAATGGAGAATATTTGCTCATTTCATAAAAGTAGTTTGCCCAGGGCTTATTAAATCTCTCATTCTTAAAAACATTTTATCAATGTAGAATAGGACTTTTCAACAATACACATTTTGTAAAGTGGAAAATGCAATCTAAACTGGATTTTTAAAAAGAAAAGTTTTCATTGTGAGATTCCCGTTTATGATTGAAATCTCCCAGCGTATGTTCAAACAGATTCCATCTCATGGGGTCTCTTGAGTATTCTTCCATCTTTATAATTTAATGGAGTGAGAAACTTCTCCCACAAACATCCTGCACGCTAGGCCTGTAGTCTAATCTCATGCTCCAATTTGCATCCTTTCTTTGCTCTATTAATTGAAATTAAAATAAAACATGCTCTTTACTGCTGCTGATCTTATAGGTATAAATTATAAATTGATAAACAATTTGTAAGAATTCATTTTAATCAAATAATGTATTAGTCTCTCAGCAAAATCCTTTTTTTAAAAAAAATGTTTTATCTTCATCTCAGGGTTTCCTAGAGTCCTTCTTTCGGTCCCTCTGTCATAAGAAATTTTGGATTCTTTTTCACTGGATGCAGATATCTCATTCAACTTGTTTTTGTTTGGTTTTAGTTGGTTTGGTTTGATTATTTACATCATAGCAGATGTCTGACACTTGATCAACTGTTAGACATATTTTATTGCAAGAAGTACCATTATATGGTGTTACTAAGCAAGAAAAATTACTGTCAATTAAACTGTGAGACAACACTAAGATGGGCCCTGATTTCAAAGATGTTAAAATGTTAAAGTATAGGTGGTATACAAGTGAAGAAATATGGAAATAAGTATTTTCTGGCTTCTGATGCAGAAACAAAGAACTCCTTTTTTTTTTTTTTTTTTTTTTTTTTGAGACGGAGTCTCGCTCTGTCACCCAGGCTGGAGTGCAGTGGCATGATCTCAGCTCACTGCAACCTCCGCCTCCCAGGTTCAAGCAATTCTCTGCCTCAGCCTCCCAAGTAGCTGGAATTTCAGTCCCCCACCACCATGCCTGGCTAATTTTTTTTTTTGTATTTTTAGTGGAGATGGGGTTTAACCATCTTGGCCAGGCTGGTCTTGAACTCCTGACCTTGTGATCTACCCACCTTGGCCTCCCAAAGTGCTGAGATTACAGGCGTGAGCCACCGTGCCCGGCCCAAAGAACTCCTTTTATGTTTGCAGAGCAACAATCAGTTTGATCCCTGCCACTTTCCTTTTCAACCTTTCTGAATTTCTAGAATAGCCTTATCACAACAGGGAGCACATAGCAATGCCTATTCCCACCACCTGTGGGTCCTAGTAAATCTGGTTCCCTGAAACAGGGCTAATCCTGGCAATGTCCTTACAAGTCACCATTTTCCTATATTGACCACAACACTGAATCTTTCTTGAATGAATCTATTTTCCCACCTGGCCTGATAGCCCCTCACTAAACCTGAAAACTGTGCAAAGCCTAACCTGGCTTGATGGAAGACCTGAAATTTTGTGGGGTTCTTTCTAGTTCTTTCAGTATGGCAGCTGGGAAGAATCCTGTCCCTTGTACTTCACCTATGCTGTTCTTAAGAGAACCATTTGTTGCCCCAGTCTTCCTATTTCCTACTTTCCTCCTCCTCGGACATCAGTGCCTACTGTCATCAAGGCTGTGACCACTATCTCCTCTGGAGATACACTTACCTGCTGGATTTCCTATACTTAACCTGCTGGATTTCCACATCAGCGGTCAACTCTTCTTGATAGTGGTACTTGAATCTTGCAATAGTCCCCAGAATGCTTGGCTGTGTATTTCTGGAATTCTTTTAAGAGATGGGGTCTTAGTATGTTGCCCAGGCTGGACTTGGACTCCTGGCCTCAAGCCATCCTTCTACCTCAACATCCCAAGTAACTGGGATTACAGTTGTAATCCTGTGCCCAGCTTGCAGTTCTAGATTTAAAACGAGTTGGCTGTTTTGATGATCTAGAGCTATAATGATCAGCATAACCACAATAATGCCTCTCCCAGACCCATCCACACAAGGTACTAAACTAGCATCCAAAACTCGATATAAATAAGATAAATAAATAACTCACCTTTCCCACACATTTTCAGACTCCAGGGCCATAGTCTCCTCTAGTTAATGTTGCAATGTTTTATATTCAAAACTCAGCTGCCACCACCGAATTATCTGTAATTGGCTTAGATTGAGGTGGTCCATGGATGTCATTGTAATCCCTGACTGGACTTGTGGGTGTCCCTTCTCTCTGTCTTCTGCCCTGGCCTATGAAGTACTGCTGGAACAATGGTTTTCTCTGGGCCTCTGTGAGAAAAGGGAGGAAAAGGAAAAGAAAGACAGAGCTATGAGAGCAACCATTCCTTTGCTTCTTAAACCAGACTTCACAGAATGGAAAATGGGGTGAACACAGTTTTGTCGAAATGAAGTCTGTCACTCTCATTTGGAGTCCATAACACAGAGTAGAAGAAAGGCTTCATAAGGCAGTACAAGATCTAGTTTAAAACTGGTAGTTGGTCTGCTTATTTCTCTGATACTCAATTAACCCATTGTAAACTAGGGGAAGACTATCTTTCCTGTGTGGACCATTCTAGCACAAGAAAGGATGCAAATAAAAATGGCAACATCAATGCAGAAGAATGCTGTGAACTTTAAGACATTACACACCTGTAAAGGAAAGTAATTCATCATTTGAATAAAAATGATCTTGTCACATATTGTTTATTCTCCACCTCCTTTCTTTCTACCCTGGACCTGACACTCTGAACATTGCTGCCAGCTTTGGTGACCTTGCCTCTAGGTGAAGGTGCCTGCATACATACTGTATTCACAGACTGAACACTTGTCCCTGAAGGGCTGGGTTTAAGATAGAAAGAGATGTAAAAAATGGTGGAAATGCCCGAATGTAGAAGGCAAGTTTGAAGCTTCTGCATCTAGTTTGATTTGAGATTAAATGGGGTGCTGTTGATCTACATACCTTCCCTCGCCACACTTAATTTTGAAATGCACTTCAGATCTCATGCTATTCTACAACCTGAACAATAAAACCATGCTGTTTGTAAACAAAGCATTTCACGTATAAGAAACAGGCCCATTGTGCATTTTTTTCCATTTTATCCACATTTTCCCATAAAATCTATTTGTATGCCCACTTTTGAGACTGTTTCATTGCATGATATTTAAGCAATGGTCAATCCTATTTGTGCTACATTTATGGGGATCCTTGAATTTCCAAAAGTAAAGAGGAGAATCTGCTGTTTAGCTAAGAAATCTGTTCAACTTAATACAGATTTTATACCTTCTCTTAAATCCCAGACTGAGCTCTTCTTTTCCAATTCTTCAGAAATGAAGAAGACCTTATTTCTGACAAATTTATGGATACAGTGCATCTCTCTATCATTAAAGGCAGACAGCATCTTTCAGATATAATGAGAATGTGAGTCATCACCCTAAAATCTGATCTGGTCCTAATTCAATTAAATCATTACCTTCTTGTCTTTCACTGATTTTCTTGCCTACAGAAAGCCATGCAATGAATGTCTTAAATGGCTATTTTTAAATAGTACGTGCATTCAAAGAAGGAGAAAAAACACACACACACCATTTAATGCTAAAAAGGGAAATAAATTGCTGTTTTTTTTTTTTTAACAAATGGCTGGGAGGGTTATAATGTATTAGTTTTTTTTTTCCAGAGGTAATCTTAGATGTGGAGTGAATGAAGTGAAGTCTGTTATCAATCCATAACATCTGCCGCAGTGTCAAGCGATGAAATGGGTGACTCCGGAGCCCAAGACAGCTGGGACGGCTTTCTTAATGCAGGAGGGTATTGTGCAAACAAACAGGCCCTGATACGGTCTATGGTTGTCACAATTATTCAGGCTGGTGATACATCTTCCCGTATTAGCTGCTTGAGCAGCCCTATTTCTTTTAAAAGTAAACTACTGTATAACAATCACCATCCTGGCCTGTAAGTCAGTGAGCACAAATAGAATAAATACCCGAAATAAAAATAAATATAAATTAAAATTTATCGCCAGAGCAACAAACTGTAAAACAGATGCAGGACAAAACAAAACAAGACAAAACACCTGGAGGAGAGGCTGTGGAGAGAATGAGCAAACACAAATCCCAAACCTTACTCACAACAAAACAAAACTCTGAATGAGTAGCAATTTTCCTTACGCTTTACAGTGTTAGGGGTTCAAGTGTCTTTCAAGCTAAAAATAAAAACACTGTTTGGGGCATCTAATTTTAATTCATTCTTCTTTTGAGGTTTGTGACCAACATTGTGGGAATGGTAATTACAAATGAGGAGGCCTAAGTATTAAGCATGAGCAAAAGTTCTCTAAAATTAGGAAATGACCTAATTCAGTAATGTATGTACATAAATCTGTAGCTAAAGGAGATGCTGAATTTAATTACAAATAGAATCTTGGTTTCATCTATCTTTCTAGAAGGCACAGAAATGTTCTGATTCTTGTTCGTAAATTTGTCTTTCTAACACATCAGGAGCCTGGATTTCCGGCTGAAATACAACACCGTGCATTCTCCAATGTATAGCCTAGCTTTGGGTCAAAAATCTAGGACCTGCTGCAAGAATTACTACGCACTCAAGTTCTCTGCACACTGAGCACGAAGGTTCATTGGAAAGGAGACTCTTGTGAGGCCTTGAAGCACATCCATTCACACCTAATAATTGTACAGATATGAAAAGTAACATCAGAGAAGTAAAGATTTTTCTAGGAGGCCATTTAGGTTTTGCTCTGTGCTTTATTCTATCACATTAGGCTGCCTTATTCTCTGTTACCTGCATATCTATGGTAGTATTAAAAGTAAGCCATTTTCAGTTTGCGTTAACAAGATGGATGTCTGAAAACCAAATACAACTGGAAAATTCAATCCAAGTTACTGAGGTTTGACTGAGATATATTGATTCTTAAAAAACAAGATAATAAACTCTAAATATCCATTGAAATATTTTTATTTTTAATTTTACGAGGTGTGTACTGGTATAAATTTTGTAATACACATTTTTTAGTGTGTATACATTCTTGATTAAGTCAAGCCCAAGTGCCATGAAAGCTCAAAAATACACAAATCAGTGTTTCTGTAAAGAAGGGTTTATATCTTAATCATTATTGTATTTTTCTCAACACCTCACACAATGCTCACAAATAACAGTTGTTAAATGCTGTTTCAACTTAAGTATATTTGTTGCCTTTATGTAAGCAAAAATAAGCTCAGTTTCTTAGAAATCACGTGTCAACATCGTGGAATATTTCCTCTCTGATAATGGGACATCATTGCTTAGTCATTCATTCATTCATTTGAGAAGTGTTTCTTGACCATTCTTGTCTGGTCTATTCAGTTCTCCACATTAGAGATAAAACAGACAACCAGTGAACAAGGAAGAAATAGCACCTGCCTTCAAGAAGCTTACAGTCTATCAGAAAAGAATGACATTGAGCTAGTAATTCTAAGTATTACAAAGCAGAAATTTAGGCAGCCACAACTGTATGTAGAAGGAAACTCAACCTGGTTTGGGAGGCAGTGCTATGAAGCCATAGGCCAATTCTCCAAGGAACTACTTGCATTTAAGCTAAGGTGCGCAGGCCGATTCTCCAAAGAACTTGCATTTAAGCTAAGGTGCCATAAAACATTTCGATGTAACAAATGGGAAAAAAATAGACCACACCTAGATACTAATGCTGCCTGTCCTCTTCTTTCATTGAGGAAAGAAAAGCCAAATTAATGCCCAGTTTCAAGTAGAAATATATTTTTGGTTTTGCAAAGAGAGTGTTGGGTTTGGTCACATACAAAAAAAAAGAAAGTCAAGGAAGAAATCACCTGTCGGGTTTAGATATGTAGAGTCAGAAGGATGTAATCCTAGACAAAGAGAAAGGCATGGACATTGGCAAGAAAAAGCACGGGGAGTTCACAAAACGTGTAGGGCTGATCTCCAGCCAGGAGCGCACATTTGTTGTTTAGTGTCTGGTGTCTATTCTGATTGGTTCAAAAAGACTTTGCTGAAATGGCGTCTTCCCTATGGAGGCACCCCAGTCCCACTAATGCTTCTCCTTCCCAAAACACTTACTTAATTCTTCTCATAGCACTTTTATTTTTATAACAGATGTTGTAATTTACTCATTGATTATCCTATTTACTCTCTGTATTTTCCCATTGGAATAAAAGTAAGGGAAGGATCTGCATCTGTTTTGTGTGTTGATGTATTCTGAGCTTCTAGACAGTCCCTGACTTACAGTAGCTACTATAAAAAATTATCGAATTGAACCTAGGGGACCTGACATGTTTTGCTCCATAATTCAGTGGTTCATTGCTGTTGTCCGCCAGGTCAGTCTGACTTGCTGTAGCATATAGATTCCAGCTAGTGGAAGGTATAGCTTTTCCTAAAGCCCTGGGCTGGAAATGGTACAAGTCCTTTGCCTTCAAATTTTATTGTCAAGAACTGAATCACATAACCACACTTAACTGCAAGTGAGGATAGAAAATGCAAAAACCACCAGGTGTGGTGGCTCACGTCTGTAATCCCAGCTCTTAGGGAGGCAGAGGCGGGAGAATAGCTTGAGTCCAGGAGTTTGAGACTTGCCTGGGCAATATAGCATGACCCTATTCTCCACACAAAGGAAAAAAAAAAAAAAAAAGTGTAGCTCCCCTCAAAAGCAACAACCTCCCCAACTTTAAAAAAAAAGAAAGAAAATGCAAAAAGCATATATCCCCAAAGAAAGGAGAGTGTATTTTGATGGACAATTGAGAGTTTCTCTTACTTTGACCATACAACCAAATCACTGAAGGGAAGGTCTCTTCTTCAAAGTGTTACTGCTTCTTTCAACCAAGGCAGAGGTGTTTGTGAGAAAAAAAATCAAGTACATTCCTTTGCCAATATTAGAATGTAACTGAAGGCATTATCCATCAATATTTTGTAAGTATTACAGAGGCAAAATTATGGAAGAGTAGCACATTGGCCTCATCAAAATATTTCAATAGTTAATTATATGCTATATATTTAAGCATTACATACCTCAGATATATTTGTATTGTCAAGAGATCAATCATCAAGTTAATAAATTATGCAACTTAATTTTAAGTATGATTAGCCTAAATTATTAATAATTAAAAATTACAAATGTGGAAACAACATATTTAGAAAGTTACACGAAAAAATTTAAAACCTAATTTCTTTTTCATTGATTCAGTAAAGTTCCCATCATCTTGTTTATAGAAATTAGTATTCTAACTACACTTATCTTTTTAGTTTACAAAGCTAACAATCAAATTGTTACATTTTATACGTCCAGAAGAGCTAAGAGAGCATTTCTTGCCCTCTTAGAATGAGAGGGGAATTCACACTTAATGAGTGACAAATGTGTGTCAGTAAATCATATGCATGTTGATTTTCCAAATAGCTTGTGAGAGGGGCTTTGGATCTAGGTTAGTCTAAATCCAAAACCAAAGGAAGTTGTTCTAAAGAGGCCCACAATTTATTAATTCATTTATTCATATTACTTATTAGACACCCATGTATAAATGTCTAAGTGCTGAGGGGCAGAAACCTTGTCTGTCTTGTTAGCAATGATAGTCTCAGTGCCTTAAACATTGCTAACAGGATTATGCATTCAAAAAAATCTTTGTTGAATGAATGAATGAATGAGTGAATGCATGCTCAATGGTTGAAAATTTACTGTGGGCAAATCATTGTGCTCGCTGCTCATAATACTGTGCTTGGGGTAAAACCTTGAGGATATTATATGAGGTCCCTTAAGTCTCTCTCTCTCTGTCTCTCTTTCTTTCTTTTGATTTGAATCCTATACTTCTCCTATGACAAGTCTGATTAAAAAAAAAACAGTTTTTCAGGATCTAAACATTCAGGAAGTTCCTCTGGTATTTGTAATTCTTTAATGGCGCAATATTTTCTAGACCACTAGAAATGGTGCAATATTTTCTAGACCACTATTTATTTACATAACTAACTCATTGCATATAGCTCATTTAAAAATACCTTTTCAGAGGGAGGTGATGAAAATGGAATTGGGTACTTCAAGGAATCTCAACTAAATGATTATTTTTTAAAGGCAAACTTGGCCTTTTGCATTAGTATTTGAATCATTCAATTTCTATATCTGAAAATGCATTTGCAAGCTTGAGAAGATATGCCTTGGTCTGCTGTTTTTCAAACTATGATTGAGAATCAACAGAGCGGTTAAATCAATTGTGTAGGTAAAAACTAGGTTTTGCAATGAAAGACAATATATTAGAATAAAATGAAATGAAATGACCAATATCAAACTACACTACTCAACAAAGGTATAAGTCTTGCTTTATAAAACATTTTTATGTATGAATGTGTATGTTGAGTCAAGATATAATCTTCATGTTTAGAAACAAAATAATTTGAAAAATATCTCTCATGTAGGCATTGATAATTGATGGCAGTTTGAGAGAATAATTATTTTTCTTCTAAAAGGTCAGGATCCTAGCGTTATGGTCTATGGAGGTCAATGACTTGGCAAAGACCTCTTTCTGGTGTGCAGTGATAATGGAAGCCACAATGTAATTGACATTATTCAAAATAGCTCCTGCAGGTGATTTCTTCCTTGACTTTTTTTCGTATGTGGCCAAACCCAACACTCTCTTTCCAAAACCGGAAACATATTTTTTACTTGAAACTGGGCATAAATTTGGCTTTTCTTTCCTCAATGAAAAAGGAGGCCATACAGCATCAGTATCTCGGTATGGTCTATTTTTTTCCCCCATTTGTTACCATAAAAGGTCTTATGGCACTGTCTACATTGGTTGCCCTCCTAGCTTCTCATCATAGACACCTTTGTCAACAGAAATGACTGATTATTCAGGGTATTTAGAATTGGCTGGAATTTGCCAAACTGGGTTTCAAACACAGGTCAAAAATCTATACATGGCCAAACAAGGCGCTCCCATTTATATTCCATTCTTCACTTTTTAGTTGGTTTTGGTCAAAAAGAAAAATTGCTTTAACCATATTCCTATTTGTTCTGAATCTATCTGGGGCTAGATATAAATGACACCTATTTTAAAAGTTAGTTCAAGGTGTAAAAGAAACGAAATTTCTCCTTCTCTTTCACAATATGGCTCCTTGCCTTATATTTCATTGCTGGACATAATTATTACATCATTTAGGTCTTAATGCAATGCCTATGTTGCTAAATTGTGATAGCAAGCCACTGATAAAGTCCTTTGGTTAGTCACAGACAGCTTCTGTAGATGTCAGCTTGTATTCACCACTGGTGCCTTTAAGCAATTGAGTTCTTCAGTAACTTTGTATACTCCCTCAGTTAATTAGGGGCTCATACAATCTGGGGACTCACTTGAGCTGTTGGATGTCAGTACCCTCTCAGGATGCTAAACAGATGACTCCACAAATTCTGAAGGTGCTTGAGGTGATGCTAGCAGATGTATCTATAGCTATTTTCTAATTTTCACTAGGAAATCCACAGAACCACATATGTTGACTTGAGGGGTCTCAAATTCTCTTCTACCAAAAACTTTGCCCCCCCAACAATGCAACATGGTTACCACTGTAACTCTATTAGAGATTTACTTCTATGAGTTAGGTATTTATTCCCTAGGTACCACACAATAAAATGGAATTATTTGAAAAAGTGTTAACAATTTATAAAGCATTATCATCTCAAGAAGAAGGTACTTGTTTTATTATCTCCTAGGAGGAAGTCCAGTGGTGACTTTATGGAATAAGAACATGTTTTTAGAAAAAAGAAAAAAAAAAGATGGCTTTGGCTCCAGTCCTAGAGATGCAACTTTCTGGCTATGGTACAGGTAAAGTCATCTGGACCTTCTGTTGGTCAGGGGATAGTAAATCTGTTTGTTCTAGTCACCTTACAAACAGGGCAGTTGTATGAAATAAGGAAATCAGGACAGTTGCAGAAATGGACATTCCATGATGACCAAGAAAACAGTCTCTGAACCAGAAATGCTTGGGTTCAGGTCCTACCAAGCCACTGCTGATGGAGTGACCTGCTTGTTAACTTCTCTGTGCTCAGTCTCCTGATCGTTAAAATGGGAATGACAATAGTAACTAACGATACAAAGGTGATTGTAAGGGATGAATGAATTCTATGCGAGTCCCTTGGAACAGTGCCTACGACACGGTGTGTGCCACAAAATTGCTAGCTGTTATTAAGTCGGCTTTGAGAAGTGAACATTTAGAAATAATGTAGAAGATCTCATAACAGCTGGGCCTCAGAGTCCCACATGAAGATGAAACAAACTTCATAAACTTGGATGGAGCAAGTATAAACTACCAAACATAATACAAATAAATGTAAATTTTCCTTTGAAGTTAACATATTTATTTTATTATAACTAAATAATAAAAATATATACTTACAATAAATATTAAAAAATTAGTAACTGACTCAGTTATTTCATTAATGCTGCCATTGCTCAAAAAATATATATATATACATATGTATATATATATATATTTTTTGAGACAGTTTTGCTCTTATCGCCCAGGCTAGAGTACAGTGGCACAATCTCGGCTCAGTATAACCTCCACCTTCTGGTTTCAAGCGATTCTCCTGCCTCAGCCTCCCAAGTAGCTGGGATTACAGGCACCCACCACCACGCCCAGCTAATTTTTTTTGTATTTTTAGTAGAGATGGGGTTTTACCATGCTGGTAAGGCTAGTCTCGAACTACTGACCTCGTGATCCACCTGCCTCAGCCTCCCAAAGTGCTGGGATTACAGATGTGAGCCACCTCGCCTGGCCTGCTCAAAATATTTTTAGAACTCTTTTCTTGAATTGTCTTCAGTCAGTTTTTGAGCTATCCAAGGAGATCAGTGGTTTTTTGTATGTCAAAGAGATATCTGCATTTCCACATTCATCGCAGCATTATTCAGATCAGACAAGATATTGAATCGACCTAAATGTCCATCAATGAATAAATGGAGAAAGAAAATGTAGTACGTACATATATAATGGAATACTATTTATCCTTAAAAAGAAGGAAATTCTATCATTTGTAACATGAATGAACCTGGAAGATAATATGTTCAATGAAAAAGCAAGACACACAAGGACAAATATTGTATAATCTCACTTATATGTGGAATTTTAGAAAGTTGAACTTGACCGGTATGGTGGCTCATGCCTGTAATCCCAGCACTTTGTGAGGCCGAGGCAGGCACATCACGAGGTCAGAAGTTCGAGACCAGCCTGGCCAATATGGTGAAACCCCGTCTCTACTAAAAATACAAAAAATTAGCCACGCGTGGTGGCACACACCTGTAGTCCCAGCTACTCAGGAGGCTGAGGCAGGAGAATCGATTGAACCCAGCAGGCGGAGGTTGCAGTGAGCCAAGATTGTGCCACTGCACTCCAGCCTGGGTGACAGAGCAGGACTCTGTCTCAAAAAAAATAAGAAAGTTGAACTCATCGAAGCAGAGAGTAAAATGATAGTTACCAGGGTCTGTGGGGAGAGGGGCAGGGAGACTGGAGAGATGTGAGTCAAAGGGTACAATGTTTTAGTTAGACAGGAGGAAGAAGTTCAAGAGATCTATTGTACAACATGGTGATTACAGCTAATAAAAATATATTGTATACTTGAAAATTGCTAAGAGATTAGATTTTAAACATTCTCATCACAAACAAATAATACTTATGCCAGGTAAAGCATATGTTACATGGCTTGATTTAGCCATTCCACAATGTATGTATCTGTTAGAACATGTTGTACACCATATATACAATTTTTACTTTCAATTAAAAATAAAAAAGAAAAGAAAATCAGTGATATAATTTAATGATCATACATTATTTCATTGTACTTTTAAAAAATTAATCAGTTGGTATTCCTGTTCTGAGCATTTTTAGGTTGGAATTAAGTCTACCAAATTCGTGCTTTTTATTCCAATGGAAAAGATGTCTTCTGTCTCCAAAGGATTCATTTCACCCATGATTAAACAGCTTTTCAGTACAAGTCCAGATTAAATAAATACTTTAGGTTTTGGGGGCTGCACTGTCTTGTCTCAAATACTCAACTCCACTGCCACATAGTGAAAGCAGTCAGAGACAATATGTAAATGAATGAGGATGGCTGAGGGCCAATAAAACTTAATTTGCAAAAACAGGTGGTTGGCTGAATTTTGCTGCTCAGCTGTAGTTAGCCAACGTCTGATTTAACCTCTGTGATATTGAGGAGATAATCTGTCTAACATTCAGAATGAGCATTAAATGATGCAGCTTTATACCTGACACATTGTCGGCACTCAACAAATGTCTTTCTTCCCTTCCCAGCAGCTGTGGTTGTAGTAGAAATCACATGTGCTTGCATCCAGAAAACTGTTCAAGTTACGGCACGAATTAGCTTTGTAATTCTCTGAGTTTCAGACCTGTCATCTGAAAAAATCAGGCCAACTTTTATCTCCTTTTGAGCTCATATAAAATTTAAATATGACAAAAATATGCAAAATTTATGCCACAGAGAATGTACCAAAGATCAGCTGTTACAAACTGTCTCTGGGGATTTCCATTTCAAAGTGTTGTTAGAAACCTTGAAACCCAAAGGGCAGATAAATCACTCATTATTTCTCATCAAAAGTAGCAGATTTTGGAATTCTCAATGGTGTTTTTGGTAGAAATCAGGCTCCATGAGAATATATATTTAGGTGTCCCTTTTTTTAATTCTCATAGAACTTTAGAACCAAAACCAACTGTCAAGATGAGCCCATCATTCTCATTTTACAGGTAAGGAAACTGAGACTCCTAGAGATTAAATGACATGCCCAAAGTCACTCAGCAACTCGGGAAGGGTTCAGACCAGGACTCCATGCTCAGGACTCTCAGTGTAGGAATTTCATACTATAACAGGAAGTCACCCTACTATAACTTGAAGTCACCCTACTATAACTGGAAGTCACCCACTTCAGTGGTTTTCATGCTGAGTAAGCTTGAAACAAGTTCTGCACTCTTTAGGCCATCTGGTTATCCATGATCAGATTAGCAAATGCAGAATTACTTAACCTGCTTATATTGCAAAGGAAATGGCTCTGGCCAATCACAGAGTAGGACATTCAGTAAACAGGAAGGGTTTCCCATTGCACCTCCACTGTATCAAGTGAGGTATTCAGAGGACAGACTGGCTGACATTCATTGCTTGGGATAGGGTTTCAGTGACATTACTGAACTTGTGCACCTGCATTCCATAGGATCACACCTTGGAGGGCCCATGACACTATTCTTCCCTGCTGATATAACCTAGAAAATGTCACTGCACAAACTATATGGCATATATGGCATTTTGAACACACTGAACAATGACATGACATTTTGAGCTGCTAAAAGCAGAGCTACATGGTGTCTACACTGCGCATATCCTAAATAACACCCCTCCCTTGTTCTTCCCTTTCCCTTTCTTTTGGTTATCAATCGTCTTTACCTCCATTACTTACCAAATTTTCCATTTTGTCCCTTAATAAGCTCAACTTTGCTGGAGTTTTTTTAACTGCAAGGTGAGAGCCTCATGATTGCTATAGCATTTTGAATGCACTTTTTCTTCTGCTTCTCTTTCTTCATTGTTACTTTTCATATAAACAGAAACATAAGTCAGGATTCTCTTCAATCAATCTTCAAACAAGGAAAGATCTTTTGGTTGCTACAATTAGAGTCTTTATCATTTCATTTGAGAGTTAGTATGTATAGGTACATATGTATTAGTTACTTAGGACTAATATATATTTTGCCATTGCCAGCCTATCCTAAGTGCTTATTATATATCTTGCATGTTAAGGGACATCTCTATAAATAAGAGTTTTTAGAAGTATAGTTTTTAAAATGCTGAATGTGTACATTTCTTTATTTTTAAAACTCATCTTTATTTAATTAAACTCATAACATTTAGAGTCCATGGTAATTGAAATGGCTGATAATAAAGTACATTTTCTACATATATATATTATATATATATGTTGTATATGAAAATTTTCTGCCTGCTTTCACATTTTTTATTAAAATATTCTGTTGATTACATTCCCAATAAAAATCAAATGCGTAGCTATGTATATTTTGCAAGGAGAGCAAGGAAATGCACCTTCCTTTCTCACGCTTTCAGAAGATCCAGTATGTTCTAAATATTGGCCCTAATTGACATGTGGTTGAAGAGTCAATAGAAATGTAGAACCTTTGTTACCATTTTATGTCACCTCATATTTTTCCATATGCAAAACTATTTCTGAAAATTTGGAGCTGGAAGGCACTGTGACGCATGTCACTGGAATGACTTGTGGTGAGGCCAAGCTGCCACTTCATCACGGGCTCCCATCCCAACCCACATTTTCCATTAGGATGTTTCCATCAGGATCAAGTTCCTCTTCAGGGATAAGAGCCGACCATCTTGTCTTCCTGTTCTTCATAAAGGCAGCTTGAGAAAGCCCATAATCAGTGGAGTCATCAGTAGCTGATTGAGTTCCTCCTAAATGTATTGGTAAAAGAAAGATCTGTGGGTCATTTTAGTCATTCACCCTGATACCTCCCTATCACAATGGCTTCTTCTCCCACCTCTCTCTACTCATGTATTTAATATGCATAATATCTGGTACCATTTCAACTTTATTGAAAGGTTTTACGATTATACTCTTGCCCTAAATTTGAAATCAAAATTTTCAATATGTGCAAGAGTACAGAATGAAAGAGCATTTATTGAGATAAATCCAAATGGAAGAAAAAATACATTAATTCAAGTATGCAAATAAACAGGAACATTTTGGGTTTCGGTGATCTAACTAATGTTCTCAATAATTCATTTGAGTATGTAAAGAAGTTTTAAAGGAAAGAAAGGACAAAGTATGGGTATAATTTTCATGAATTCATTTTCATCATTCAAAAGTGATTCTTTCTCTTCTACTCTCCTTGAACCATTATCTAAAGGCTGTCTGCAACCTAAACCTCTAAAAACACCAGTAATTTTAGTGTCAGTATCTACATGTTAAAACTTGTTTTGGTCTAATAATTTGAGATATATTATGGTTCTATTATTTGTAATTTTGGTAGCTTTTTTGTTCTATTAATCTACATATGAAAACATGTTATATGTTTAAGATTTTTATTTTGATATAGATCATTTATTTTATTCAAAACATAATTTAAAATAAAAATACTTTCATATTGCCTTGATCTAACATTCAAGAAGATACATTTGTTATGTTGAATAATAACCAGAAAGGACAAAAGTTTGAAAACAGAAAATGGTGGGAAATAAATCTTACCAAATCAAAAAAGCCCCAGTTTAATTTTATAAAGAATGAAGACATAAGGCAAAGGCAAATAACCACTCTAATTTAAAATTATATTTCAATTAGCACTTTGTAAAGTATCTTAACTTGCTTTGTCTGACTTGGAAATGAGACAAAAGTTTCTGAAAGAGCAGGCTCTGAAAATATTTATGAATAAGAAAATAAAAGAAAAAAGAACAATTGAAAGCCAATAGGTGCTAAAAAATAAAAAAAGAGAAACATTATAAAACACCTTTTCAAAGGTCTTCTAATGTACAATATTTAAATACAAACAGTAACTAGTGTTACACCAGCTGCTCTCAGGTTTGCAAAATATATCAAAGTACAGCATATTGGAATGAGTCCTGAGTTTCCATTTACTTTATCTATCCAGACACATCAATTCTTTTTACTCCAGCCTGATAAAGTGGAACTGCCGCAGACAAATGAGCTAGTGGAGCTGACATAATGTGTTTGTCACAAAGAAGCGCTGGATAAAAAAGCATGACTTTGATCCTCAATGAGGTTACTATTTTACAGTACCCTGAATTTAACTCTAACCTGATGCCTTGAGTCACCGTTCACTGTTTATTGGCCAAAATTGATTCTCATTTCATCTCTAACTGTTAAAGGACTGGCTCCTGCAATCCTTAGATGAGTAAAATCTCCTATCAACCAAAAATAATACTAATAATAATCATGGGAAATTAAAAGCAAAAACTTGATTGATGATCTCTGTGTGACATTATAAAAACTACCCCGAGTTGGGGACTAGAGGTAAGCAAGTAGGTTGACGATCACTTATCACAAACCCAAGGTGTAATGTTATTATTTTAAAGGAAATTTGATTTGTATTTAAGCAATAATACATACCAGATAATTTCTAGATAATTATTTATGTCTGAATTTAAATGTATCTATTGAGCAAATCAGATACATATATATTTATGTGTATGTGTCTATATGTAATTCTATTCTTTCTTTTTATAAAGACTCAAATATTTCTGAAAATAAAGCTTTTGTTTTGAGTTCTGAATAACATGAAACATTTGCCTATTATACCCCTGGGCTCCTTTATCCAAGCAAATTAATTCAATGGTTTTTATTTCATTCATCAAACAAATAAAAAATACCATAGGTAGAATCTGTCACTTGTAAACAGACATAGAAAAGAATAAAACAAGGGGTTCCTAGAGACCAATCCTCCAAGCAGATGAGTAAACATTGCCTTGAACAGTCATAATGGGGGAAAACGATTCTTTCTCTGATACCTGATACTGCAGCCTCACACATTTTTTTTCTTCTTCTATTATTATTATTATTTTTTTTAGTTTGTGGATCATTAGCCCAACAAATGAAGAAGTGAATTGTGATGAATGAAAATTAGTACTGTGAATCCAAATTACTGCATTAAACCCAGGCTGGCCATAAATTACATGTTAACACAATTCGATACAAGTAAGACAGAAAATACTGTCCCTGACAGTGATCTTTAACAATTAAAATATATTTCTTCAACTCAATATTTGGCTGCAATATACTAAAGAAGTTATGATATTCTCATATTGCAAAGTTATATTTAGATTCTACGCAGGGTTAATTATTCCTCACAAATAACGTGCTCACTCATGGTCTCTTAAGTAGATTTTTTGCGGTATATCTTTTGGATTGACTATTATTGATGCACAGCAGTGTTTACAAAATACATCTCCATCCCTTTTCATGATGATTTGAGTTACAGCCATATTTTAAGCCATCCATTAAGCTCTTTTTGTACCCTGCAAATTCATCAGTGGCCTACCTACTGGACACACCTGAGTAAGCAGTAGTAGAGCAGAGATGTAGAGGTGAATGAGATCTATTAGGTAAGCAGAGATCAGAAGGACCAGAGAAGCTATAGTACTAAAGAGAAGTCAGGTTTACTGTACAGAGGAGCCTTCACTGCTTCAAGCCAAGAAAATCTGGTAACATAGAAAATGTCCCTCTGTGCGTACTTTTACCCACAATCAATTGGTGAGATTTGGTCAGCTGATGATTTCCTAAAAGTTCCGTCTGTCCACGTCATCCATGCAGTAGCACAAGATTCATTTTGATCTAATGTCTGAAGCAAGTTCAGATAATAAGATGATGACAAGATCTGAAAGATCAGGCTGGGCGCGGCGGCTCACGCCTGTAATCCCAGCACTTTGGGAGGCCGAGGAGGGCGGATCACCTAAGGTCAGGAGTTCATGACTTTATTAGAGACAGGTGAAACCCTGTCTCTACTAAAAATACAAAAACTAGCCGGGCATGGTGGCAGGTGCCTGTAATCCCAGCTACTCAGGAGGCTGAGGCAGGATAATCGCTTGAGCCCAGGAGGCGGAGGTTGCAGTGAGCCGATATCGTGCCATTGCACTCCAGCCTGGGAGACAAGAGTGAAACTCTGTCTCAAAAACAAAAAAACAAACAAAAAAAATCTGAAAAATCACGTGAAAACTATGCCAAAGAGTTTTGGGAACTTAAAGAAATGCAGAAGTCGGTGTTTGTTGCTGTCCAAGTTCTTTGAGTGTATGTGAGCAAGAGATGCCACTATTTTCCACTGATATTACCTGTATCCAGACTGATGCTAAAGGCTGAGATAAACACAAGCATGCATCCACTGCCTCCATGCAAGTCCTACTCAGTACTAAAGATGGACGCTTGGTAAAAGCCAGATACAAAACATTGCTGCCTTCTGTTAGCCTGGAAGCACATTGACTAAAGATGTTCTGATTGCCCGTGGGGTAGAACAATGAAACAATGAAGCCAGTATGTGCAGAAGCATGTAGGAGGAAGACTTGGGGCCAATGAGGCAACAAACTGCATGCCCAACACATGCTCCAGGGCACTGTGCTAATGCCCAACTTTCCATCTGGTTGAGTGAGTTAGGTCCAGCAAATGAATTCCTTCCAGCTTCTCATGCAGTTCCATCTTTGTCCCCTATTGAGGAGCAAAAACATCCTGTTGGTAAAAGCCACTTTCAGTGGTTCAGTGGGTAAAGCTTCTCCAGGCTGGATTTGGGAGTCTGAAATTGTTGGGAAGACTGAAATGATTGTTCCTAGAAATTTAACCCAACTCTGTCATGCCGGCTATCAAGTAGAGATAATAAAACACCGTCTTAATGAAACTTCTGAGATGAATCTATATTATTTTAATTTTATAACATTTAAGATTGAGGTCAAGAGACAATATGCAATATTCCGCAAGTTACTCAGCTAAGAAGTGGAAGGGCATGTATTTGAACCTAGGTTCTCTTGTACCTACCTAGTTCATCGCTTCTGCCATATTTCCTAGCATTCAGCCAAGAGAAACTACCGGACATAATCTGTGAGGCCAAAAGAGTGTGAACAGCAGAGAGGGCTTGAAACAATGGAGAAATTCATTCATCTTTATGGTGACGCTATTGTTGAGATCAGCAGTAAGCCAAACAACAAATTTCACTTGTACAGAATGTGAAGAGGTTATTTGTTAATTTTACTCCTTCTCTCTAATGCGGAAATTATATATACACATAAAATTTAGAGACAGGGCCTCACTCTGTTGCTCAGGCTGGAGTGCAGAGGTGCATTCATAACTCATTGCAGCCTCGAACTCCTGGCCTCAAGTGATCCTCCCACCTTGGCCTCCTATAGTGCTGGGGAGATGTGAGCCACTGTGTGAGCCGAAATTACAGATGTGAGCCACCATGCCCAAAATCTTAACATTAATAGAAGAATCATCTCAAAGAAAGTGAGAAACTATGAGGGCATATCAAACTAAAAAACAAAATCTGTGTTCTTTTTAAATTTATATATTCATTGAAAAATATAATTAGGCTCAGTTGAAACTAATAGGCATAGAAAAGATAATAAGAATATGAAAATGCCTTACCTTCAGGAACTCCAAATTCAGGGAAATATTGAATGATAAATGTGACTGAACCAATTCAACAGTTTTAGAGTGAAGTCTGACATCCAGTGGCCTCCCAAAATACTACATTTTTATTGGAGAACATAGATTTTCCCTTGATTGCCATGCTTGTGTTGCCAATTCTCCACGTAGTATTAGAAAATACTTTACAGAATCTGATCACAGTAGTTAGAAATCATAGAGATTAATGTGTTAAGGCGTTATTCTAGCAGTCAGATGATATTGATAATTGTGATTTGAGTTTATCTAAGGCAATTGTAAGATCCTTTTTTTGACAGTGTTCTCAAACGCTATGTCAAGGAAATGCTTCAGGGATAAAATTGTCACACAATGAAATACTTTATTATATCAGTGACTAAACTCAGTGTTCACAGCTTTCATTTTGTGGTACTCAGTGACATGCATAATTCCAGTGACGTTTCACCACTGTCATTCAAGTTCCTAAACCAGAAGAAATGGTGCAATTTAGTTCTGGTGTGGTTAATGAGGCTTAAATGATGAGAAGGGCCCTGTAAACACGGGCACAGGTGTTGCATAAAGTTCTGCAACAAGGGCCAAGACTGCAGCACCCTCCATCTTATATAAATAAATAGAAATGCCTGATGCCATTTCTATACCCCAGATGATACCAGGTCTTGCAGAAAGGTACACTCGCATTTAACCAAAACTTTTTGTCTTGTCCTTTCAAACCAATCACAAGACATACCAAACACTCTAATTTCCCTCCAAGATAGTATTTTTGTGACAAAAAAATTATTTAACCCTTAAATATTCTTCTTTGTTTTAGAGGATTCTTATGATTCTTTTATAAAATTATGTATTAGAAACTTTTTTATGTTAAAATGAGTGGATAATGTTAAAAGCATTTTTTAAGGACTATCATGACATACACATATTTACTTTTGAAATCTGCTCATTATACATTGACTTTCACTTAACACAGAAATGATCTCAAAGGTTTTGGATCTCTGTGTGCTTAACTCTACATAGCACATGCTTGTCATAAAGCCCTGGGGGAAGAGGAAGCAAGTTGATTAAACATAAATTGTGGCCGACAGTGACATCTTGTGGATGAAGTGATTATGAATTTAATTAAAGTTTCTAAAAGTGGAAATACAAGTAAACTATCATATAAATGTGTTAGGTTCACAAAGTTTACTTTCAAGTTGGTTACTTGAGATTTAAAATAATGTGTGTGCACAGAAACAATGTTGCATGTGGAGGTTAAATTTCAAAGGCTCAGAAAATCCTATCTAACTCCCAAGGACATGAAATATGCTTCAAGTTCAAGAGCTTAGTCTTAGAGTTGAACGTCATATTACAGAACTATTTCAACCCAATCATGTTACGGATGAGGAAACTAAGACCACCCCCCACCA
The DNA here is from genome assembly GCF_000001405.40 of Homo sapiens. Classification (NCBI taxonomy): domain Eukaryota; kingdom Metazoa; phylum Chordata; class Mammalia; order Primates; family Hominidae; genus Homo; species Homo sapiens. Next base: position 9,302,674 of record NC_000010.11, read on the forward strand.
AGAGATTAAGTGACTTCACAATAGTCTTGGGGCTACATAATGATTATTTAAGGCTAGAATGAATTTACAGCTAGAATGAATACCTCAGAGTCATCACCAGGATATTTCTATTACATTTTACTACCTGATACATAGTACACCCTGGAGTATTTTATACTACGGACAGTCTAAACCCCATAATGCATCTATGAGGAAATGAAATCAAGGCTCCAGAGTATAATGCTAAGAATATCTCTTTAGTCGGCTTGGGCGTTACATCCCAGATGGAGTGATCAACAGTCTCTCACCACTTTTACTAATCACCACTTTTACTAAGGCCGAGAAAAGACTTCCATTTCTAAATCACTGGAGTTGACTCCCAAGGAAAGTGGCTCAAGCTGAGTGGAGACTGGAGAAATATAATTAAAAAAAGACATAAGATTCAAGGATTTTGCTTGAGTTACTGAGGCTTCATATAGTTAGAAACCACACAGATCATTTCTGATGCCTGCCCATTCATTCTTCAAAGATACCCACTTCTTCACTCCACCAGTAAAAACAAAACAGCTCTAAAAGAATTGATCCATTGATTATTAATTGTTCCATTAGAACACTTGGAAATGTTGGCTGGCCCATTGAGAAAGGGAAAATACCCACACACTCTAGCAAGTCCTTGGTGGCAATAGGATTGCATCCTATTGTTAACGTATCTCTTCTTTCCCAAATTTCCATTTTATTTCTACAACCTGTTGTATTCTGATTTTGGGCTCCATCAGTCTAGAATAATTGCTTTCACCGAAGTCTTCAATGTCCTCCTATGAGGGCAAATTCAGTGATCTGATCCCCTGCAGTCTTCTCCTCTGTTTTCCTCTTACAATAATGATGCTCTTGGAAGAATGTCTTTCAGTTTTTCTATCTTAAAGTCCTCCTATGATCATGCCTTTTTTGGGCAGTCTACTTATGGTGACCGAATAGAGGAAGTTGGGGAGAAGGTTAAAGCTCCAGCTCTTTTAGCCATCTTGGCCTGTGGTAGGACAACTCCAAAGGACACTGCTCTTTCCAGAACGCTCCACTGAGTTACCCAAAGCTTGGTTGAGTCTGCATCTTAGTTCATCTTTTCTCTTTGCCCGACGCTGCTTCCTCTCCCTCCTTTTCACATGTGGTAATTACTAGTAAGTATTTGGTAGATTATTCCACTTAACAGGTAAGATTAAAGAAAAATAATAGAAAAACCACTAAACCCAGATTTAAACTTGGCCTATAGTGGTCTGCTGATACGGTTGGGCTCTGTGTCCCCACTCAAATCTCATCTCAAACTGTAATCCCCATGTGTTGAGGGAGAGACATGGTGGGAGGTAATTGGATCACGGGGGCCATTTCCCCATGCTGTTCTTATGATAGTGAATGAGTTCTCAGGACAGCTGATGGTTTTAAAGGGTGGCACTTCCTCTCTTTCTCTCTCTCTCTCCCTCCATCCTCCCTTTCCTGCTCTCCCTCCCTCCCTCCCTTCCTTCCTTTCTCACTCTGTCTCCTGCCACCATGTGAACAAGGTCCTTGCTTCCCCTTTGCCTTCCTCAGTGATTGGAAGTTTTCTTAGGCCTCCCTAGCTACGCTGAACTGTGAGTCAATTAAACCTTTTTTCTTCGTAAGTTACCCATTCTCAGGTAGTTCTTTACCACAGTGTGAAAATGGGCTAATAAATCTGCCTAGGTACCTACTCCTGTGTATCAATTCACCTCTGCAGATTCAGACTTGGCACATGCTCTAAATTTAATCTTATTCCCATAAGAGAGAATGTAAGGAAATGAAGTTATTCAGGTGGTTCAGCTTCTGATCACTACTACTACTTACCAGGGCTGCTTTGATCTTCACACCTGGTTCTAACAACTGCGTGCCTACTTTTCTTTCTGTAACAATGTTCTAATCTTTATAGAACAAAAGCAATATTTAAGTCACTGATTTTTTCTTATATAAGTAATCTGTGCATTAATGCATCTTGATACCCCAATACGTTTAATACTGTCACCTGGCATTTTTCACATTGCTAATCCTTGAAACAGAATTACTGTTGCAGTATCCCAGTATGGTAATTGGAGATATATTTGGTTGGTGCAAAAGTAATTGCAGTTTTTGCCCTTACTTTCAACGTTGGCAGCACTTTACTTTTGTACCAACCTAAACACAAACCTGGCACCTGGCATTTCTGTACCTGACTCTGGCTAATTCAATATTACTCGTTTTCCACTCTGCTCTTCCATTGCCCTGCTGTACTCAATCCCTGCTGGGCTGCCTAAGGCTATTCTCTACATGAGTCTAACTTCAAGTCCCCCTATGAAATGTAGCCAGATTTGCTTCCATAGAGGTGCATTCCTTAACAGACCTAGCCACTTACCCCCAAAATATGGCATAAGCTCTAAATATATTTTCCTCTTCTAATGCACCTTTTGTGCCACACTACAATTTAGCCAGCAAATTTCTTCGAAAAAAATTTTTTTTTTTGGTGGGGGGTGTTAGGTTTTGTTTTTTGTTTTGTTTTGTTTGCTTTCCTTTGCTTTGCCTTTAAAAGATATTTACATAGAGCAGCAGAGACCTCTACTGGCAATTCAGGTTAATTCCCTTAAATGCTCATATAATATAACTTGTTGACTTTACTTTCTTCTGTATTGGTTAGTAAGTGGCATTTAGTTTGATCAATGCCATAGTAAATGCAAGCCTGGATTTATGTAGTGTCTTAAGGAAAAAAGGGATTTTACTCTGAATGCCTAGTGCAGAAACAAATATTCACTTTAAAGAAAAAGAAAACTAATAAAAGAAAGCATACATAGTAGATAACTGACAGTTTATAGATAACACAGGCAAAGCCAATGTGCTTCTCCATATGGACAATTCAAGAATGAAAGATGATTCCAGCGTAACATGCCATCAAAGGGCAAGGTGGATTTACCCTGAATCCAACGAATGCTTACCCGACGTTCGGGTTTTTTGATGCAGCAAAATATGGACCATTGACAAAGATTATTATCAGTGAATTTGATGAGGTGCACAAAAGATAGTTACGCATAGTTAATATAGTTTCATGAGCGATACATAGTTTTGCCAATAGAACCACTTGACTTTCTAGTAGTCTGAGTTCATACTTCAGATATACCTACTGATATTTTGAAAAGAAAAAAATGGCCCTCAGATCCATAGAGATTTCTGGCTTTGATACAGATTTGGTGGTGGCAGGAGGAAGTCTCTCACAAGGAAAGAAGTGCTTCAAAAACTATAAGGAGAACAGAGAACCTCAAACATGTTGAGCAAAATATTTCAAGGTTCATATAGTGAGTTGGAAGTTGGTTAGTATGTTTCAAAAGAAGACATGCATGCGGCCAAGGATCATATGAAAAAAGCTCAACATCACTGACCATTAGAGAAATGCAAATCAAAACCACAAGGAGATACCATCTCACACCAGTCATAATGGCTACTATTAACAAGTCAAAAAAATACAGATTCTGGTGGGGTTGTGAAGAAAAAGGAATGTTTATACACCGTTGGTGAGAGTAAAAATGAGTTTAACCATTTTGGAAAACATTGTGGCGATTCCTCAAAGACCTAAAGAAATAAATATCATTTGACCCAGCAATCCCATTATTGGGTATACACCCAAAGGAATACAAATCGTCCTATTATTAGGACACACATACACATATATTAATTGCAGCACTATTCACAACACAGAATCAACATAAATGTCCATCAATGATAGACTGGATAAAGAAAATGTGGTATATATACACTATGGGATACTATGCAGCCATAAAAAAGAATGAGATCATGTCCTTTGAAGAGACATGGATGCAGCTGAGGCCTTCATCCTTAGCAACTCACACAGGAAGAGAAAACCAAATACCACATGTTTTCATGTATACCTGGGAGCTAAATGATAAGAACGTATGGACACACAGAGGGGAATGTCACACACTGGGGCCTCTCAGAGGGTGGAGGTGGGAGGAGGGAGGGAGAGGATCAGGAAAAATAACGAATGGGTTCTAGGCTTAATACCTGGGTGATGAAATAATCTGTACAGCAAACCCCCATGACACAAGTTTACCTGTGTAACAAATCTGCACATGTACCCCTGAACTTAAAATACAAGTTTAAAAAAAAGAAAGTTGGTGAGTGTGTCTTTTAAAATTTTTGAGGAAAGAATATGTGTTTTATATGGTCAATGATCTCTATGATGTGATACTCCATGTACTGCTCCGTACTGAGCCTTGAGCAGTCCCAGACTGCCTTCTACTTTCCATACCTCAATTCTGCCTGATAACTTTTTCAAAGGCATACATATGGGTATCTGGGATTAGAAAACATTGGTTTCTGAACCTTAATCTACTGCTAATACATTTTTCTCCTTGGTCTATCTGCATATAAATTACTTAAAATTTTGAACCCTATTTTGTCATTATCTAACTAGTGACACACGCTAACTAGTGGCAAAATAACATTCTGAGTAGAAACTCCATCACCTTACATGACTGATGTTTATTATATAATGTGACCTGATCATAATGACGTGTGATAGGAAAAACACTTATTTTTTAGGTACAGTCACTGCCATCATAGACATTGCCATTAGTATGCTTCTAAGAAGCATTGTTAATCAAGTGGCAACATAAGATATTGGAAAAATTATGGGCTTGGGTATCTATCCTAGCTCCACGTCTTACTTGCTGCATGGCTTAATTACTGAATTTTAGTATCCTCCTCTGTAGAGTAAGAAACATGGATGTTAAAGACACAAGCTACATGAAGCATAGAAATTGAAGGAGTACTTTATTCATGGCTATAAAATTAATATTAAACAGACTATTTTCAAATTTTATGGATTTAGTATTAGAGGGATTGGCATAAATGTCACTGGTGATTTGGCCGAGATATTAAAGTATTTATTTATCTAATCAATAGTTATTATTGCAAATAGAAACAAAGTAGTTATCTTTCACTGCTGCCCAAGGCAAGAAGTTAAGTTACTCCTATAGTGTAATTTAAATTTGTAAATTACATTGACTGCTACAATAAGTTCCCCAAATCATGGGACACTTACAAAAAGAAAAGGATAAATGGATAAAAAGCTACGATACTCGAGAATAAATATCAGTGTAACTTTTTTGAGAGGTCTGCCTTTCAGAAATTGCAAAAAAATTCTAATGATACTCATCTGTTTCAAAGAGAAATGACATGAAAAATCTCATAAAATGTTTCACAGATATATTACGTATTAATATCAGTTCTCATTTCCACGTAAGTATAATTTTGAAAGTACTCTTACACAAGATATCATATTCTAGTCACATAACATGTCTGTGAGTTTGGCAAAGCAAAATGATTATCCACATAGCACAGTAAAACTGCTGACTGGAGCTGGGGCTTATTTGCTCCTATTCCAATCCCTTTCCAATGTACCACAATGTCTTCTTCAACAGATAAACATCCATGTATTGCTAACAAATAGGGGACCACGGCCCCTATGAATCAATTTCTGCAGTTGATGTTGAGTGGGGACAGGGAAACTATGGAAGCTCCTCCATGGGCCAATTAGCTAATACCCAGTGAGTCTCTTGGCTAAATAGACTCTGATACCAGAGTAAAAGTCTAGCAAGAACAACTCTGGTGGGGTAAATGAGAAGGCACAGAACTGCCAGGAGGAGGTTAAAACCAAGAAAAAATGTTCTTGTATTGACCAGAAATATACTCACTTCAACATCTTCCTGATTCTGTCAAAATGAGGATTTGCTGCTGAACTTGGGATTGACTCACTGTGGGATGATTTTCAGGGCCTCTATTCCCATCAGTAGATTATTTCTTGGTGTGCCAATATTTATTCTGTTGTTGGAGGAATTGCTTGTAGCTGGTTGTCTCCATTTGATGTTTATCAGGAAGGATTTGGGCCAGCATCGTCTGTGCAAGGCTCAGGAGAGAAACCTGCCTCTTTCTGTTGTCAGACAAGCCATCGCTGGCGGCTTCCAGGGCTGTTCATTGCATTGGTTTCTGTTCTTCACACTGTCTCATTCATGGCAGTCGAGACATAACCTGCAAAGGAAACTCAAAGAGTATTTGAAGACATTAATGTTCTCTAATCTTGAGGTATTTACAGTTTAAACCTCACAATCTTGTGGGAAGGGAGTGAACTGTCACATCTTTGACATGTTTCAACCCTTTAAGGTTGAATGTGAACATCCTGAAAGGCAGTCTATTCAACTTCCTAATCAATCAAAATTATTTGGAAAATTAGAAGAGCAGAATATGTTAAAGGCTTCTGATTGGTGGATCCCTGATTAAGGCAAAACTATGGCTCAAAATGATGAAATACAAAACTGATTTCTTTTCATCAATATATTTAGTGATTACTGAAATCTCACTTGGCTCCCAGCATTATTTGGTTATATAGACAATATTAAACTGTTCCCATTGCCATGGTGTAGTAGCAATAGACTTAGAGTCCAAAAATTTTGGGATCTAGTTCGGTTTGCTATTCGTTAAATATGCAACCTGTGACCCTTAGTGTGAGTGTACATGAATTGAAATAGAGTTTTGTCATTATAAGCCAGTACGTTTAATTATATGAATAAGCCAATGTATGTCATTATAAACGAGTATATTTCTCATCAACACAATAACACTTTTTTCTTGGTTTTTACCTCCTGATGGCATTTCTGTGCCTTCCAATTTACCCTATAAGTTCTCTCCTTAGTGTTCCTACATTATATTTAAGGATAAAAGACTTAAAACCATTGTGAATAGTTTAAAGATCCAATTGTTGATAAGAGGATATGAGAGATGTAGATTTAAAAGCCATCTACTTATAAAAGTTAAAGACACAAGATTAAATTACGTTATCTTTCAGAAACCATTTTCCTGTTGTCAACAAATATTGGTTAAGCACTTACTCAGCTAGGCATTGGACTGGACTCTCAGATACTGTCAGAAACGAGACCAAACCCCTCAATTCATGGAGCTGCAAGTATATAGGGTGCAAGAGAAGACAGCTAAAGAGAGAATTCAGTTGAGTCACTGTCCAACCATGATTCCTCTTATTGAAAATACTGTCTTTCTCTTTTCAGAGGTTCTCAGTCTTGACTGCACATCAGAATCATGGGAAGAGTTTTTACATTTCAAAGACTGAGGCTATTCCTCCAGAGCAGCCTGAAACTAGGACAAAACCCATGCCCTGAATTTTTGAAACTCACTCTAGGGTATTCCAGAGTGCAGCTAACGTCAAGAACCAATTATCTGTAGCTTAGCACAGTGTCTGCCATATAGTAGGCACTCAGTCACGAAGAAAATTATCGTTGAATATATTAAAATAGGTAACTTTCCCAGATATTCTTATCAAATGTAGTTACAATTGATTCTTTTTGTCTACACTCAATTTGTATGAAGTTAAAAAGTAAACCTCTCACAAGCGATAGTTAAAACAGAAAATGGTATTACTTTTAATTGTGAAATAATGCTATTTATAAAAATGAAACACAAAGGTAGACACACATGTACGTATGTAAATACACTCACATATGAAACCGTGATTCCTCATATTCTCTAATTATGTATCACTGACAAACAAAAGAATATTCTTGAAGCTCAGCAAAAAAATAATTATGGTGGACATCCCATCTAAATATCCATGTCCTGGATGGAAATAATCAAGAGAAAGATGATTATTAAATGTTCTATTCATTGGATAATTAACTAAAGTTGTAAGTTAAATTTACCCTTGAACTTTGCCTTTGGCTTTTATGCAGTGATATTAAATTGTTCTGAATACAATTTTGGTTGCCACTATTGATTAACTTCAGGTGAATGTATCTGGAAAAATGATCCACATGGGTGCTTTAATCTCTAAGTCATGGATGAAGAACCAGCAAAATTATTAACAATCCTAGCATTTATATTTTAAAATATACTATTTTTGATAGTGGTATTTGTGAGTCAATAGTATTTAAAATCTGTCAAATCGAAATCAAATATTTGAGGAAACTGTGAGTATATTAGCTACAAAAATATGTACATCAAAACACAGTATTATCAAGGTAAGAAATCAGGATTTGGATAAATAAGCTTTTAATTATATGAAACAAAGTACAGGCCAGGTGCAGTGGCTCATGTCTATAATCCCAGCACTTTGGGAGGCTGAGACAAGCGGATCACTTGAGGCCAGGAGTTTGAGACCAGCCTGGCCAACGTGGAGAAACCCTGTTTCTATAAAAAATACAAAAATTAGCTAGGCGTGGTGGTGCACACCTGTAATCCCAGCTACCCAGGGGGCTCAGACAGGAGAATCCCTTGAACCCGGGAGGTGGAGGTTGCAGTGAGCCAAGATCGTGCCACTGCACTTCAGCCTGGGCAACAGAGTGAGACTCTGTCTCAAAAAAAAAAAAAAAAGTACATAGAAAAATGTACTACTGATTTTGAATAATTTTCTGCGGTCAATTTGCTTCTGTTTCTTCTGTCAGAAGAGAGGAGTATGCATTTTCTCATGCCTTTAAAAAGCATGTGACCTTTGTTTTAATTTAGAAGGGATCCAAGAAAAGGCATAAGAACTTTAACAAAATCTCTTAGTGTCATTCTTTTGGGAATACAGCTACTACAATATAAGGCATGATACTTTGCACAGAAGTGCTTAGTAAATATTTACTGAATATACAGTCTTTCCTTAAATTAGCATGGTTTTTGCCTTAAGAATATAAACTGGTTAATGATTCTTTAATAATCATAAGCATCTGGATTGTGTTTCTGCTAATTTTTTTCACTTCCTCAAAAGCCAGTGAATTTTAGAAATGGTACTATGTTTCAAAACTAGTTAATTAAAATAATCTCAGATACCATAGTATTTTAGGAGTTAGTTTATTAGGGCAGGAAGGATATTGTATTGTATAGACATGACCAGTCCTTCTTTTTTAAAGTTACCCCACCCTGAGCCTAAATATTCTAGTTTTTCATTTTCTTTACCTGCAAAAGAGGCATGATGTTATTTATTTTAAATATCATTATAAAGGCAAAATTTCGTAAATTTTTTCACTAATTTTACATTCTATAATTACTCTGCTTTTCTAATAAGCAGGGTTGCAGGGTTTTTTTTTTTTCAAATAATAGATTGTAGGACAAATTTCATCCTGATAGCTCAAGAAAGTATGCTGAGTGGGATGAATTAAACACATAAACACATTAAGGGTAACAGAAGTTAGGTTTCTTACTGTCAGTAGAGGGAGCTGCAAACATGGAACAGAGGGAAATTCAATTTTGTGAGGTTGGACAGGAATTGGAATATTGATGTGATCTCACCTGTTTTACTGGTTATGGATATGTAAAGAAATAAATATAGATTTAAACATATATAATACACATGTTTGCAAAACATGGAGAAAAGATGTAGTAATACCTTAGCTATTAATATGTTAGAAGGATAATAAATATCTTTTTCACACTCACATTTTGAACCATCTTTGAAGGACAAGGGTGTTTGGCAAATGGACATCAATATGTTATCTTTGTTACCAATAAAGCTGTAGAAGAATGTGGCTTATCTGCATGACAAAATCGGGCTTCCAGCTCTGGTGGCACAGCAGGCGATGACTACCCCATTCAGCCATAAACCAAGCTAGAAGCCCTAAGACTTGCTCCCTCCTCACTGCTGAGTAGCAGGGTGGCGCCAACTGTGCTTTCTGAGAGTGGGCAGATTCCAAAGAGAAAAGGAAAAAGGGGACACGTTAACAACTCACTCATCATATCAATCATTTCTTCCCAGGAGAAGCCTTAGGAAGCCCAACTGTTCACCTGACAGATGACCTACCATGGTATAAACACAGGAAGAGGAAAGGAGGTGACTAGATATAAAATATAATAGCTTCACTGGAAATGGTAAGGTGGTTCTCCTTGCTGGTGCTGGGGAGACATTGAAGGTGGCTAGGATGGTATTGACTCACTATACAAGCAGCAGTGAGATAAATGCAATCAATGACATGGGTTTCTGTTGCAGCTAAGCAATGTGTTTGGAATCTTGAATCCCTGACATATGAATTAGAGACACTTAAGAGATTTTTAATGTAACAAAGAAAATTCAACATAAACAGAGAAGAAATATAGATGAGGCTTAAAGTGAAGGACAAACCAATGTATTTAGCATTTTCATCTTTTAATTTCTTAAGAGTAAACATATCGTATTGACTAAACTATGTTATAACAATCTTGCTTATTTAAAATTCATGCAAATAAAGTAGTCATTCTATAATGTTAAGGGGAGCATGGATAGATTGATATTTTGAGGACCATCTGGCCCATCATCTCCTAAAAATTCCTAAAGTGGCACCATGTCCCTAGCATCAGTTACATGAATTTTAAGCCAACTGCCTAGTAATGATGAGAACATTCCAACGAAGCTTGCCTTTTGAATATAATGTGTTAATTGAAGTAAAAATACAGTCACTGTGAATATACGGATTAATCTACAATAACTAAATAAGGGATTTAGATAACAAATGAAAAAAAACTAAATGAAAAACTTCCTATCAGCTTAATATTTCCTTTAATGTTCCTAACAAGACAAAAATTTTGTTTGAAAATAAAAAAGAGGCCTTCTTGGGTCATTTTTTCCCCTAATATTCTTTCTCGTGCTTTGGCAGAGTTGACGGTATGTAACCAAGAGCGTATTCTTGATTGAAAAGGTCTCTGGCTTCCTTTTGAGTTCAACTAAAAGAATTTGCATGTGAATCGTTCAGAGGCACTAATGCAATCCTGCAGAAGATTTTTTATAACTATATCTTTCCTTGACTTCTATGGAATAAAGAAAGTTATAAAAATCTTATTCCAAGGAAATCAATGAATTATTTTTCAAGCAACCCTTCACCACTGAAAAGATCTCCTTTTTAGTGCAAACTTAATAATCGTCCTTTCTGACTCTCTTTCTTGCTTTCCCTATGAGTCCATGCATTTCAATTGTTAGGCATAGCTGAGTTTAGGAGAGAAAGAAAGAAACTTCTAGCAATAAATCTTGGTTCCCTCAAATGCTTCCAGTCTTCTTTGTTAAAATCTGCAATATGCCTTATCAAAAAAGGGAGTTTTGGATTTTCCCCTTACATTTATATAAATAGTTTAAACATAATTCTTTTCTTAGAATAAACACTTCTTCCTATTCTGGGCCATGGGTGCATCTATATGTTCAATGTGTGCCAATTAATCTCAAATCAGTGTGTATATTTTATTTTCTATAACATAGACTATATTAATACTCTCTCTTAAAAATATTGTTCTTGGGTATCTAAATCTAAGTAAAACTGCTTGTTTTAAAATGCTTATTGTTCCATTGGCTATACCGTAAAACTGAGTAGGTTAGATAACTACTGTGCCTTCATTTATTAAACAGTAGACTATTTTGTGTCCTATCTCTCCTAAGCTATACAGACATTCTCACCAGGGCTTCCCTGCTCTCAAATCTTTGCATATTTCATTCTTCATTTAAATGCAGTACCTGTCTTTTTATCAAAAATTGTGTGCTGGCTATTTGTACTTTTGTATCCCTTTCACAATAAAAAGAAATAAACTGGAAACTGATGCACAGCCTTCTCTTGCTCTGGACCCCACTCAAACCTGCCAGCCTTAACAAATGAATGGGTCAGAACCACATTCTGTTTGTGGTATATCCTACCTCCAAAATATATAGAGACTCACAAAGTGCTGTGTAATTTTCTTAGTGGCAGATGTGAATTGCTATTACTTGCCCTTTACCTTAGAGGTGACACCCTGGCATACACCAAACCATTGGCCTCTTATGAACCTCATTAATTGACAGGCCTCCTCCTGGTATGCACCTGCTACACCAAGGCTTCTCGGGTCCTCACCACTCTCTATTCACCAAGTCCAGTTGCATGATGTTGTGGGCAGAGCAGACCAGTGTAATATTCTCAGGAAAGTCAAGCTGCCTCAGGTTCCTGGTATCTCAGTATTACAGAAAGGCCAAGAGTTAAAATGGTTTTCAGGGAAGAGAGTTAATGCATGTTGCTCAGTAAAGTACAATGTTTGATCTTTTCTGCACGTGAAAGTAACTTTCATCAGATCAATAGTGCATGAAGTGATATGGGCTCATTGATCAGCAATAGTAACCAGGTGCAATAAGGGAAACCATCTGGATTATTTCACAGTAGCTCACCATCATTTACCATGTTCCAATTGCTTCTTTTTAAGCTCTGCATGGGGGTATGTTAAATGAGGATATGGTGAGGCTCACCACCCCAGCATCTATCCATACTTCTGTGGTAGTGCTGACCTCTGTTCACATCTACATTAGTCCATTCTCATGCTGCTATAAAGAACTGCCTGAAACTGGGTAATTTGTAAAGGAAAGATGTTTAATTGGCTCACAGTTCTGCATGGCTGGGGAGGTCTTGGGGAACTTAAAATCATGGTGGAAGGGGAAGCAAACACGTCCTTTTCCACATGGTGGCAGGAGAGAGAAGTGCCAAGCCAAGGGGAAAAGCCCCTTATTAAACCATCAGGTCTCATGAGAACTCACTATCACTATCACTAAATGCCCCTATGATTCAATTACCTCCCACTGGGTCCCTCCACAACACATAATGATTATGGGAACTACAATTCAAGATGAGATTTGGGTGGAGAAACAGCCAAACCACATAAACATCCTTAGGTTTTCTGAGGTATAATGTTGCTTCTAATTTACAACTTTGACTAGACTAGGAGAGATTTTTCTTCATGGACTTCCACTTGGCCCTATTAAAATAATGGCTCTTGCTCTTGTAGGTCAGAGAACCACAACATTTGGATCAGAAGGAAGCAGCCACAGATGGGTCTATAGCCACAGGTGGGTCTGTAGGACCATTTTGAGACAGACTTTGGTTTAAACTCTCCTTATTACCTCCCTAAACCTACCCCCACTCTTGCAAAAAAAAACTTAAAGATATGTTTGTTCCCTTGCTTTCAATCCAGCTCAGTTCCCAAATTTAATATTCCTCAGAAGTCTGACAATTCTTATTTTCCCTTGGTTATTCTATAAATAACACAGACCCTATTAGTGAAAGATCAGAGGGATATTTAAAGACAGTATTTGCAGGGACCTTCAAGGTAGCAACTGGCCTACTTTTTAATTAAAGGGCTTCAGATCTGTGAGTGGAATTAGATGTGGATCCTGATAGAAAGATGGCAATATTCTATTGTGGCAGCTGATATAAGCCATCTACTCACCAGATCTTGATTTTTTAAAATATACAAATTAAGTATCATTCTAGCTTATTGTCCATTTGTCTCATGCCTAAAAATGCAGTGATGTATTAGCTATCACCACAGATCTTCTGCAGGTAAAGATGCCTTGGCTGCCAATCACATCTTCAAGCTACCCTGGTATTTACAGCTGCTTTGCCTCTGATAGTCCACTGTTGCCATTCGGTACCTTGTCATGCTAGTATCCTGTCATCCTCATTGAGATCATAGAGCCCAGTTTCATGTAGCATTTTCCACCAAGAACTCTAGTCACAGAGATTCGTCAGCTCTCAAAGATGGTTAAAGGAATGTCCCCTGGGTCTTCTGAGGAAACACAGCTGCATAGTGTGTTCAAAGGGCTTAGTCGATCAACCGTCCTAATTAATCCACTTCTCTGAACCCCTAGAACCCTTCCTTAAGGCTATGCAGAAGAAGTTGTGGCATCGTCACCTTATTTACTTCAGTCCATCACTATGTTCAACATTCAAAAAACCATCATTGCGTCGCCAGCTTTGAACTGTCTCAGCTATCTTGTCAGAACCCTTCATCTCAATTCATGGCTGAACACATCATCATTAGTGAGTTCCCATATGATTCTTCCAGGTGTCCTAACAAAATAGAATCAGAGGTCACTTATGCCAAGACTTTATGAGTTGTGCCATTCCAGAGAAGCAGGAGTGTGAGGAGGAGAATGGATGGGAATATGTTACAGAGCTAGCCACCTCTTTGTAATAAGCCAACTGCTTGAAGTTGCAGGACATCTTCAGAAACACCATCTAAAACTACTCCTGTGAATCTCCTGTCTGGGGTGAAGGGAGGAAGGGGAGGTTTATCTCCAAGGTTTTACTTCTCATTGCTCAAATTTTGCACTGTAAGATTTTAACTTCCCTGTATGTGTGGGTTACACAGGCATGGTTACCCGGTGGGTGTCAAAGTAAGAGGAGAGTGACACATGGCATGGGTGAGGCAAACGCTGTTGAGTCTGCCTGTGAATGGCAATATGGGTCCTTGGCAGCCTTGGTCTACTGCAGGTATAGTCATTGACCTGCTCCCATGACCATGAGAACCACATAAACTTTTGAAGATAACATTAACCAGAGTCATAGCAAGTGTGTAGATCTGGGGTGACACATAAAATGAATCCCATAAGATATCTACAGCTACCTTGTTTTTGTTTTTGATATTAATGACCTCTGTGTTTTAGCTATGTATTTGTCTTATTTGTCTTCCCCAACACTCTAGAAAGAAGTCATGAACTTCAGCAATTTTACCTCCTCTGGTACCCCCAACATCTAGAACAGGCGTGCTACTCAGTAGGAATTGAATAAAACTGCACCAAGCAAAGGAATAGTAATTTTTAAATTGCTGAAGAAAAGATTTTTTCAACATAGATTGGGGAACTACCTAAACTATTATTCAAGAAAAGGGTCATGGCAAAAACATTTTAAACAAAAAATAAAATTTTCTGATCAACAGGACTTCATGAAAGGAACTTCAAAAGAATATTTGGCAAGGCAGAAAATAATCCCAGAACAAGAGTCTGATATGTTAGTTGGAATGATTAAAAAAAAAAAGATAATAGTAAATAGTTAAGTAAACTATAATAAATATTGATTATGCATTAATAATGTTTTCTAATTTGAAGTGAATAAATATGGACGAATTAACACAAAGTAGAACCTAAATTTTTTTAAATAATATATAACTTAGAAGGAAGCAACTGGCTTTACAAAGGTTTAATCTCCTGAAGTTTTCTGAAAAATTATAGAGATAATGAGTAATATTACATTTAATACAAATGTACATGCTACAACTTAAGGGAAATTCAAATATAAAAGATGTAGCATGTATAACTTCAAAACAGTGGAGAGAATAAATGGACTAAAAAAATCCAATCCATGAGAAAGTAAAGAGAAGAAAAAATAGGAAGCTTGAGAAAACAGGAAAAATAGAAAAAAAGAAGATGGTAGGATAAATATATAAGTAATTTTAACACCTGGAAACAGCATAAACTAGCTAATTATAGTAATCAATATTTAAGTTGGATTTAAAAATTAAAATACGATAGAATATTATTTAGCAACAAAAAGGAATGAAATAATGACACCTGTTATGACAAAGATGAACCACAAAAAACGTGTTAAATGAGAGAAGTTGGCTACAAAACCCCGCAGAATATTGTATGATTTCTTTTTTTTTAATTATTTTTGAGAAGGAGTCTCACTCTGTCACCCAGGCTGGAGTGTAGTGGCGCGATCTTGGCTCACTGCAACCTCTGCCTCCCGGGGTCAAGCGATTGTCCTGCCTCAGCCTCCCAAGTAGCTGGGATTACAAACGCCCACCACCACGCCCAGCTAATTTTTGTATTTTTAGTAGAGATGGGGTTTCACCATATGGGCCAGGTCTTGAAGTCCTGACCTCAGGTAATTCGTCCCCCTTGGCCTCCCAAAGTGTTGGGATTAAGGCGTGAGCCACCACACCCAGCCTGTATGATTTCATTTATATGAAGTGTCCGGAATAGGGAAATCTATAAAGAAAGACAGTGGATTTGCTGTTACCAGGAGCTTGAGAAGGGTGGTGGCAATGAGGAATGGCCGCTGACAACTAGGCCTCTTTGTGGGATGAAAAAAATGTTCTAAAATTATATTATCGAGTTGGTTGCAAAACTCCTAATATATATAAAAAATCATTAAACTGTACACTTTAAATAAGCAAACTCTATGTTGTGTAAATTACATATCAATAAAAGATATTAAAATTTCAACTAAATGCTATTTTTAAGACCCTGCCAAGCCAAAGAAATACACTAAGTAAAAGAATGCATTCTTCAAAATAGACTTTGTATCAAAAATAATTATTAGGGCTACAAAGTGTCACTAAATTTGAAATAAAGATCAGTTCTCCAGGACCAAATAACTATTCTAAATATATGCACCTCTTAAGAGACCCTCCAAATAACTATACTTAAAATTGACAGAAATTCAAGGAAGAATTGACAAAATCACCAACAAGTGGGAAATTTTAACAAAACATCTTATTAATAGAAAGATATAATGACAATAATTGGTTATCATATATGAGATTTTAAACAACAAAGTTATGAAGCTGAAACAAAGAGCAGAAGCAATGAATATATACATACACACATACATGCACATATACTATATATATCATATATAGACACACATATATAATATATGTGCACATACATGTGTATATTCATCATATATATAATACACATAGGATGTGTGTGTGTGTGTGTGAGATACATACCACAAGTGATGATAGGGAAAAATTAGGAGTCCTCTAAGGTACTGTACTATACATGAAGCAGTATAGTGGTATTTGAGTGGATTCAGATAAGCTGAAAACTAGTTATCTATATCTGTAATAATTTATAACTATATCTATAGTTAATCTATCTACTGATTAAAATACACACATACATTAACTTACTCAGTGAGCTTAGGGGGCCTAAAGGCAATGACACCCTGTAGCAATATGCATATCAGTCAGCAAGATCTTGGTTTCTAATAATAATAAAAGTGGATTTTGGTTATATTGCTACAACACTATATGGTTACTAAAAATCACTGATTGTACATTTATAATGATCAAAGTTTATGGCATGTACATTTTACTCAATAAAGCTTTTTTTTTAAATGAGGTATTCTGTTTAATAGTGCACTAAATATTTATGGCCTGGCTAAGATTGGATTTTTAATTAAGAAGGGTGAACATCAGCATAAAACAGTAACAAATTACATCAAAAGCTTAGTCTAAGGGAGTTAGTAAATATACAGTTTAAGATCAACTTTAATGGAGAATTTGGAACCCAGAAGAAATGCAGAAATTCAGGGTAATAAATGGAGGAAAACATCACAGCTGACAAAATTCGTGAGCACGTTATGTGTTTAAACATAAATAATCTGTGTATAAGTAGATTTAATACGTGTAAAAAAACATACTAAGTAAAATAATGCATTCTTCAAAATAGGCTTTGAATCAAAAAGAATTGTTATGTAAATAACATAAACCAGCTAACTACAAGTAACAATGATGTTGCTAGGTGATGTCTTGCATGTGGGGACAGATGAAAGTGGGGGTCTGGAGTCAGAAACACCACTCAACTTGATGGAAGGATGACCCTCAGGGGACACGATTGTGCGCACCATCAATGCTCAGAGTAGACCTGCGCCCATGAGAGTACATCAAAAACACTTTCCCGACCAGAATGTGGGATGGATGGATAATAGCCCAGAACCAGATGGCAAGTCAGGGCTACAGTTCTGAAAGTAGAATATTGGAAACTTGGATACATTGTGGAATCCAAGGCAAAGACTAAGAACAGAAGCATTCTGGGGAGAGGCTATGTGTGTGTCACGGAGAGGAAGTGGAATATGTATTTCAGAATGTGTGACAATGCCCTTGTGTGAAAGTTAGTATAATAGATGAGTTATCTGAAATCTACACTATGATGGTTCTATTGTCCTATTCTTTCTTCAATAAAAAGAGAGAGACTTTTCGCATTAAGAACAAAGCTTTATACAGAAGACATATTTTTCTTCCCATAATCATTGACTTCTTGTTTTACATGACATATTCAGACAGTAGTCAGCTGAAACACTTTTTTTCTATTAGGAAGAATATAATCTCTTCTTGAATATAATCAAGAGAACAAAAATAGTATTACTGGAGTGTTTGGGTATACCTTGTTCACTGCATTCCAACAGAGACATCTGTCAAGTCAGAGAGAAATCCTATTAAGAAATAAGAAGACAGTTGGCTTGTTATAGGATAGCAGTTATATGTGCTTATTAAGCAGCATTCCCCAAAGGTAATAATCTGACAGTTCCTTAATATCACAAAATTTCCCGTACATTTCCTCATTTCTCTATATTTCTCAGAAAATAGAGCAACTACAGGACCCTTCCTCCCTCCCTCCCTCACTCTCTCTTTCTTTTTCTTTTTCTTTCTTTCTTTTTCTCTTTCTTTCTTTCTCTCTTTCTTTCTCTCTTTCTCTCTCTCTTTCTCTCTCTGTCTTTTTCTTTCTTTCTTTCCTTCCTTCCTTGTTTCTTTCTTTCTTTCTTTCTCTCTCTCCCTCTCTCTCTTTCTTTCTCTTTCTTTCTTTCTTTCTTTCTTTTTTCTTTCCTTCTTTCCTTCTTTCTTCTTTGTGAGCAAGTATGCTTGTGATGATGATTCAGCTCAGGAACCCATGGAATAAAAGCAAAGAGTTACTTAGAAGATTTTGTAAATGAAGTCCCTTTGCACTTTGGAGAATATATGATTTCGGTCACTTAGAAAGCAAGCTATTAATAAAATACAAAGAAAAATAACACTGGCCTCTACAAGTAGAGCGTGACTGAGCATTCTATTTTTCTGCTGTGAACCACACAGATCTAGGAGCACAGACTTGGAAATAGTGAATCTTCACAAAGAGAGGCCCCCAGTAGAAGCGACTCTTTTATTTTATTATGTTGGCCTGGGTTCTGAGTGCATGGTTTGAAAGAATACACATGGAGTAGTTCTTCCCCTGGTACAGTGAAGAAAAGTAGCTAATATTCAATGAAAACAGTTTTCAGAGGATCTTAGAGACATGAATATTTAGGTTTACAGTGTTGTCACAGTTGTTCCAATATAATAAAATAAATATAAACGTCAGTGTTAAAGTGGCATTGATGGTGTTGGACCGCTGGTGGTATATTAAAGGCCTGTAATAGGGGTTTCCCACCAAGCAATCTCCCTCATGTAACTACAGCATGCTGCTGTCACATGTGAATAAATTAAGTAGTCTTTAAATGTTTTAAAGTTTGTTCTTTCTCAGTGTGTGTTTCTGACTATACAGTACTTGGGAAGTAGCCACCTAGAATAACAATTCATTTAATCTATTTTAATTTCTCTAATTTTCAATATGGGAACTTGGTCTGATTCCTTAGTAATTATGTAGAATTTGTTCAAATGATATTATCTTATCAAATTAAAGCAATGGGCCTCTGCTGTTTGCAATACAATGTAACATGTGTAATGACTGCTCTAAGACATTGGATGGGCTGTAAGCACACACGTGCAGTGCAGATGGAAAAATATAATTACCTGCTGTTTATGAAGAAGATAGTGTTGTAAATTAATTTTGAGCCCAAATAATCTAGCCCTGTTTTTATTATTTTCCATGGTGTCTTTTTATCTATCAACTAGGAAAACATCAATAAACCTTGAAAATAATTGGAGATGATTTTTGTCTTTCTTCTTTCTAATGAGCAAGAAATAACAAAATTATCAAACCTCAGATTTTACCTTCTTTTTCTTATTACCTTATTATTTTAAAACCCTGACTGCTTGCATTGATTGCTAAATTACTGGATATGGATTCCTGTTTGTGATTGGTATTTCCTTGTTGTGAAAACTTCAGACTAAATCAATGAAATAAATGACTTTACATGCCTGTTTAGTATTTCAGTAGAGATGGGGGAGGGATAAAACTCTTAAGAACTAACACATATTAAATATGGAGAATTGGAATATTGTTTATCTAAAGGAAGGAAAAGGTGAGTTCAAAAGCTAAGTCTCAAAGTTAATGAGAAATACATCATTTACAAGCTCCTTAATGAGACTTCCATAGATTTTGCTGTGGGCTTGTCTTGAACAATAACTCATCATGCGGCTCAGAGAACATTTTGCATGCCAGTATTTTAATAGAATTTATGTAAGACAAAAATTTTAAGTAAACTGTGGAAAAAGATGTCAGAATAAATACACATTTTTAATAATGAAGTCTATAATGAAGTATTAATCAATAATTGAATTTTAAAGATTATGTTGTATTTATTATCCAATGTTTTAAAGAACAGATGGAAGCAAAGGCAAATAGGGAAATACTTGGTTATGCATTCAACAGCCAGACCTCCAAGAACGTTGTTTATCAAGTCCTAGATTAGGCAGCTAGAGAAGAAGAGGCTGAGACTTCGCAAGGATTAGTCATGATGTGCACCTGGCTGAGGATAGACCATGGCTCCAGTCTATTAGGAGTTGTTACATGAAGTTCTCCACTCCTAAATCACTTTCTAGATAAACTTAAATCTCAACATATTCCTCAAGTTTAGCTTGGGTCTTCTCTGCATGGCTGGTAAATGTGAACTTAACCAATTAGCTTGAAATATCTTTGAACAGAATGTGGGCCCTTTTATCTCTAAATTCTAGTTCAGATGATCCTGGAAGTGGGTCATGACATTGATCATCATCTTCATGAGTGTTCCATTCTCACTTGATCTGCCTCTGTCATGGGCTCAGGACAGCCATATCCCAATACAACGGGCTGGGCTGGTGTCTTTCTTATTGTCAGGTAATTCTATATCACTGAAAAAGGTCTATTCCTGTTTCTTAACATTCTGTTATTTTCTGTAAGATTCCCATTTCTTGGTCTTCTGTTAATTACTGTAACTGTTAAGATTTATTTCTCACTTAGACTTTAAACAGAGTTTTTGAATAATTTTAAGCATATAAAATTATTATAAACACAATGAAAGCCCATATATCCTTCACTTAACTCATAAATCACTAACAATTTGCCACATTTTTATTCTCTCTAGCCCCCCCTACACATGCACACACGTACATTATATATAACCATAAATACATAGATGCACACATACAAATATAGATATATACTTTTTCTGAAATATATTTAGAAACTTGATGCAGGCATTAAGCTGCCTCCCTCAGAATACAGCTCTTCAGTGCTTAAGAATAATAGCATTCTTCTACTCTACTTAAGAAAATGAATAATAATTCAATACTGACTTAATAATACATTTGATACTCAATTTTTTCCAACTATCAAAATGTCTTTGATATATGTTTTTAATACAGATTCAATTAAGATTTATACATCACCTTTGGTTTTTAAGTTTCTTTAGTTTCTTTTAATCTAGAAAAATCCCCTGAGCTACACTCTGAACTTTCTTGATTCATCTGAGTGATTAAATTCAAACTAAATATAATTTTATTGCAAAAACATTAAATAGGTGATATTATATACTTTTTGTAGCATCACATCAGGAAGCATATAATGATAGTTTGTCTCATCGTGGGTGATGCTAAATATGATGACTTGTTTAAGGCACCGTTCACGGCATCATTTCTGCGTAAAAGTGTATTTTTCCCCTGGTATTTGTGTACTTAGTACCTGGTAATTATTCCAGAGAGGAAGTACTTTAAGGAATAATATTTGAGATAATGATATTAACATATTCTCCATTTTTTTAACGTAATTGTTTTAAAATTCATTGGTGTTTGGATTTGGGATAAAAGGAAATAACCCCCAAATGTTTATTTGAGGTGGAAATAAATTCGTTTGTGTTGCGATATGGCTATCCTGAGCCCAAGACAGAAGCAGATCAGTGAGAATGGGAGCATTCATAAAAGCGTTGATCAATGTCATGACCCACTTTCAGGGTCACCTGAACTGGAATTTAGAGATAAAAGGGCACACATTCTGTTCAAAGACATATCAAACTAATTTGTTCAATTAAGATTTATCAGCCATGCAGAGAAGACCCAAATAGAGTTAGATGATTGTCTAACTTCATTTTTTGATGCCATTTTTCAATGAAGAATAAAAACTCATTTTTACTCTTTCACTTGCTTTCTCTCTCTCACTTCTATTTGGTACCATCCTAGATTCAATTATTATTGTTATTATTATTCATACAAATGATGCTTTTGATTGCCAGCTCCAATAATTGAGGAGTCCAGCCGGGTGCGGTGGCTCACGCCTGTAATCCCAGCACTTTGGGAGGCCGAGGCGGGCAGATCACCTGAGGTCGGGAGTTCGAGATCAGCCTGACCAATACAGAGAAAACCCATCTCTACTAAAAATACAAAATTACCCGAGCGTGATGGCGCATGCCTGTAATCCCAGCGACTCAGGAGGCTGAGGCAGGAGAATCGCTTGAACCCGGGAGGTGGAGGTTACAGTGAGCCAAGATGACGCCACTGCACTCCAGCCTGGGCAACCAAGAGTGAAACTCCGTCTCAAAAATAAATAAATAAATAAAGGAGTCCTGGCACAGCAGGACTGAAACTGGCTTTAGGCACAGCAGCGTCATTAGATGCCCATACATGAAGAGTCACTTGTAAGGCACAGTTAGACAATGGAGCATTCAATATCAGCAGAATTTACTGTCTCTTCTTCCATGGAGCTACTTTCTCCTGTGACGCCATGATTTCCATGCTTTCAAGCAGATTTCAGTCATTCTAGGCTATCCCATCCTATCAGCAACCTGCTGAACAAAGTTGCCACTTTAACAAAATAACAATGCCCAGTCCTGGCATGGAGTCTCTTTGGCTCTCGTTGGCCTGACTTGGTTATGTGACCATCCAACTCAAACTGACTTCAGCAAACTAAAAATAATTTTGGTACTGCAGATAATAATAATGTAAAAAGGAAATAACTGTGTGTGTGTGAGTGTGTGTGCAATTTATTGTTTATTGAGTCACACATTTAAAAAGTCAAGGGAAAAATCCAGTTTCAGGTAAGGCATCATGCACCCTGTCTCTCTGTGTTTTATTAAATTTACTATAGTAAAACTGTATATTTTACTAAATTTACATAATATTTTACTAAATGAGCATGTGATTTCTTGGTGTCAATTGCAATTTTCCAGGAGTCTGTCCCTGCACAAATATAAGGTCAATAGTGAATTGATGTCCCCAATTTTCACTTAAGTATTACAACATTTTGATAACTTAAACTGTTATCATATTTATGTTGTATGAAACAGTTTACCTTGAATTGTATGCCATCAGATTTTCCTATTACTAGGTCCTCTCTTTTTGTAACTTTTGTATGATATCTTTGTTCCTTTGTTTACTTTTAATATTCTATTAAATACTTTATCATACAAATAGAATATAGCTGGACTTATTTTATGCAGTATGAGAATATTATATTTTTCTTAATGTAGAAATTTAACCATTCACAAGTATTTTGAATACTTACATGTTTGCATTTATTCTTGTCTATTTATTGTATTATTTTCTATTTATCATGATTTATAGATCCTCACATAGGGAATGGTATACTAATAGTAAATATTTTACTAAATGAGTAGAAGTTGGAATATGATAAAAACATATAATTGTCAGGTAAAAAAAAATAAGGGAGTTTTTTTTCCTTTATTTTATTCTAGTGGTTGGAGGAACTAAATCTTGTTTTCATTGTTAGAATGCTGACAGAACTTAACCAAACATACTTTGAGATTTTTCAAGATCTTAATAAAATAATGAGTATATGTAACTCTCTATGTTGAACAAGGCAATATTTGAGTATCATTCCACTGCAACTTTTATTAATCATGTTTTGGTTAAACGTATGAGTTTCTGGCTACAGATAATTCATATTTTGCATCAGAAAGCAATCCTATTTGAATAATTTCAGTAATCTTCACACCTACATTGTAAATACTCTTTTTAAGATTTAATCATTGATTTGACTATTTATTGTCTCTCATGTCTCTTAAATTCCATTTCTTCTTCTCTTGTATATTTTTGTTTCATTTATCTCCAGTGCATTTTTGATAACAAAGCTTTGTTGGTGACAACAATTTTGAGTCCTTTCATGCTTTATGATAAATGATACCTTTGCCCTCAACTTAAATGATAATTTTTGTGGACAAATGTCTCGCTCCTAATATTTTTTTTCCACAGAATTAGAAAAGAAGTCAATATCTTTTGTTAGCATCTATATTTTCAACGGACAAATTTGAGGCTAACACTTCTGATTTTTTTGTACATCCTTTGAGTTCAGAAACTTAAGAAACATTTAAGTAAGTGTCTACTTTTTTTGTTGTTGCTCAAAGGGCCACTTTAGTCTCAAGATTTGTTCTATTACTCAGTTCATAGAAATTCTTCAACAAATTATTAATTCAGTCACAATTATCACTTCTCATCCCACAATTCAATAACCTCATTATATATATATATAAAATATTATATATACATATATACAATTTTTTTCCTTGTTTTTACTAAGACTTTTGCTAATGGTTACTGGATCTGCTCAATGTGTTCTCCACAGCTTCTCACTTTTATCTCACTTCTTGGGTCCCCATTTTTCTATATTCTGGGAGATTTCTTTGACTCTTTCTTGCACAATGCTAATTCTGTCTTCAGTCATGCCCTTTGACAGAGAGCTGGCTGCTGACTGCAGCTCATTGTCTGAGTGGCTCAACAGGGAGGTTTCCCCTGATGGTGTTTGGGTGAGGAGAGGGAAAGGAAGGTGGAGAAGTGCATAACTTTCATTAGAAGAGACCTTTACATTCGTCATGGAGAATTTCGTTGTGTTTCATTGATAACCAGGGTTGTCTTCCTTTTCCCCCACTTCATACTATTTCAGAATTTTAGAATGTACTTCTCTTTTGTCCTTCTTAATCGCCCACTCCCAGACCCCACTTTCAGAATGCCTCCTTCTCCCACAGGCATTTTCTTTTGCTTAAAGAGATATTTTCTGTGCCTTAGTCTGAGGACAAACTCTACATCTCACCATTCTGTATGAACAGTAAGGAGGAGCATGGCTGACCCAGCTGCATGGCCAATAGTCCTTTACATGATCATCCTTGTAGCTACCCTCTGATCAACATGCCTTCCTTGCACTTTTAACCATTCCTCAGAGTTCCTCCAAGGCTTGTTGAGTGCTTCATGAAGAACAGCTCCTATCCCTGCAATGGTTCTTTTCTTTGTTGGTGTTGGCCTATTGTTTTCACAACTCACTTCTGCCTTAGCCAATCTCATCTGCTCCCTGTCATCCATCAATTCTTTCAAATATGTTAATAAACTTTCCCTCTTCTTCTTACAGATCTGTTATTGATTTACATGTTTTCTTGTACATTTTCTGTTTTACGTTTTTTTTTTTTCACCAAAATCTTTGAAGGGGAGGTAAACAGTGACACTCAGTCTCCTGCATTGAAGACCGAGGTTAGCAAGCCTTCTGGATTGGCTGAATCAACTTCAGTTACAACCTCATTCCCCATCTCTTTCTACTATTGAAGTTCTAAAGTCTAAAAAACTACAACTTTAAACTCCGTTGCAGTTAGAAGTGGCTATATGACTCAGTTCTGGACAAGGACATATAAGCAGAAATCTCACAGGAGGGTTTTCGTTCATCAATTAAGAAGGAAAGACTTGGCCGGGCGCGGTGGCTCATGCCTGTAATCCCAGCACTTTGTGGGGCTGAGGCAGGAGGATCACAAGGTCAAGAAATTGAGACCATCATGGCCAACATGGTGAAACCCCATCTCAACTAAAAATACAAACATTAGCTGGGTGTGGGTGGCACACACTTGAAGTCCCAGCAACTGGGGAGGCTGGAGCAGGAGAATAGCTTGAACCCAGGAGGTGGAGGTTGCAGTGAGCCAAGATCGCGCTACTGCACCCCAGCCTGGTGACTGAGCAAGACTCCGTCTCAAAAAAAAAAATAAATAAATAAAGAAAAGAAAGCCTTTTGTCTTTTTCATTCCCCCTTCCACCTTTGCATTTTTCCTTTCTCTTTTTATCTGGTAACCTTCAGAGAGCCAGCACAGGACCTAAACCAATGTTCTAAGGATGGTGGAGTATAAATAGAGAAATGCTCTCAGCCTCTGATGGTGTTGGTGAAGAGTGGAATCAATACGAACAATACTTTATCCAGAGGTTTTTTTCTTTTTAAGAGAGGACCCTATTTTTTAAAGCTACTCGTAGACAGATTTTTTAAAATTACCAAAAGCTTAATGCAACCTCAGTAAGGCTTATTTCTTTCTCAGCAAAGCACAAGTTACAATAGTCAAAGGGACTCCATAACCTTGAGTGGATTACTAAACTACCTATGTTTATTTCTGCTTACAGATTTAATGATAATAGAATATGTCATTGAAATAGATCCCATTGATGAATAAATATTAATGATCAATAAAACATTATTAACTTAATATTGTTAAATTAAAATTTAGATAGTACTATTCCCCAGGTTGGTTTATAGATTCGACACAATCTCTATCAAAATCCCTTCAAACTTCTTTGCAGAAATTGACAGGCTGATTAAAATTCTTATGGAAATGCAAAAGACCCAGAATGGCCAAAACAATCGTGAAAAGAGAGAATGATGTTGAAATTATGCTTTCTGATTTCAAAATTTACTACAAAGCTACATTAATTGAGGCAGTGTGGAATTGGCATAAGAACATATGAAGTAATTATTAATATCACCATGCCACACATCTTTAAAACAACTGGAACTTACTGACACATTTAAATACAAACAATGCTCAAATTCAAGCAACCCAGGACTTTACTTGAATATGAGCTTGGGGAAGAAGCCACCTTATTGCTTCTGTTTATAAGCTGGGCTCTTTCTTGCCTCATCATGTTGTCCAGGTGATACTCCTAGTTGCAAAGAACTTAGAATTGGAAGGTAACTTTCTTCACAGGAGCTTTTCATAAAAGTTAACACGTTAACATTGTAACATGACATATACCAAATAACAATGAAAAGAACACTGCTTGCTGGGCATGGTGGCTCATGCCTGTAATTCCAGCACTTTGGGAGGGGATCACCTGAGGTCAGGAGTTCGAGATCAGCCTGGCCAAAATGGAGAAACCCCGTCTCTACTGAAAATACAAAAATTAGCTGGGCATCATGGCGGGCACCTGTGATCCCAGCTACTCAGGAGTCTGAGGCGGAAGAATGGTTTGAACCTGGGAAGCGGAAGTTGCAGTGAGCCGAGATCACACCATTGCACTCTAGCCTTGGCGGTAAGAGTGAAACTCCATCTCAAAACAAAAACAAAAACAAAAACAAAAACAAAAACAAAAAAACAGTGATGAACTTGAAGTTTGACGTCAAGATCCACTTTGGGTAGTAGTTGGAGTGTTGCTAGAGGGCTTTGATGCACAGTAACAGAGTGCTGCAGTAAGTATTCTAGGCAGAGTAAAAACGATGTGGAAAGTTTAATTTGAGAAATGTTAAAATATAAGCTACTTTTAACGTGCCTGCTATTTAGGCACGTTAAATATAAGTCACTAAAAAAACATGGTCTGAATACAGACACAGGTATTATGGTACATATATCCAGAATGGTTATTAATTTTAGCAGAGCTTCTGCAAATGAGGGTGCTGAGCTACTTTGGATACACAGTTCTGGACATGTTGCACTTGCAGGATATCTGAGAAGTCTCTGTTCTATTGAATTGGTAGGATGGGTCTCTAAACTTGGCCTCAGTGAGGCTAAACAGCTCTTGTTTGGATCAAAATGAATGGCTTCACATATGTAGAGGATTTATATGGTTTGGATATCTGTCCCCTCCAAATCCTATGTTGAAAAGTGATTCTCAAGGTTAGAAGTGAGGCCTGGTGGGAGGTGTTTGGGTCATGGGGGCAGATTCCTCATGTACATCTTCGTGTCTTCCCCATGGTAATGAGCAAGTTCTCTCTTTTACTTCATGCTAGAGCTGGTCTTTAAAGGAGACTGGCATTTTCTACTCCCCCTTTCACCATGTGATGTGCCTTCTCCCCCTTCACCTTCAGCCATGATTAGAAACTTCTTGAGGCCTCACCAGGAGCTGAGCAGATACCAGCACCATGCTTCCTGTACAGCCTGCAGAACCATGAGTCTTTATATATTTCCCAGTCTCAGGTATTCCTTTGTAGCGATGCAAACAGGCTAAGAAAAGGGCGTGCAGGAAACTTCAAGTTGGCAATTGAGGGTTAGAACGTAACATCATGATCATATGAATAGTATTTTTTGATGGGTGTATCGATATCAAGATACAAATAAAATTTTGTAGGCAGATATCACCTCTTAGTATAACACCCTGAAATTTATTTGAGAAAGCCAAATAGTAAAAAAAATAAAAATAGTGTTACTATAGTTCTAGGGAAGTGTGGTTTGGTGGGAACAGCATATGACTTGTCATTGGAGCGCTGTGGGTGTGCACCTGCTTCCAACCTCCATCGTGTCCATGCAGAAAGGTCATCGTTTTGCTTCCCTGTGGTATTTGAAGGAATTGTTTCATTGCAAGCTATGAAACCCGACTGTTAGAATCCTAAGGCGAAAACAGTAATGCATGGCCCAGGCACCACACTTCAGGAAGAATAAGGATAGTCCTTGTCTGAAGGGTGACTCTAGGATCCTGAAACTGGGTTCCACGAGTGCCTGTACGCTGCCTTTTTTTAGTGATTTTCTCTGCAGGGTGGCTTTATTCTGTACACTAACTTCACCATATTGGGGAACACACGACTACGAGACACTCTGGATTGATGCTTGTACGGCTTAAGAGCAAAGAAAAAACCCCGTCTCTACTGAAAATACGAAAATTAGCTGGGCGTATTGGCGGGCACCTGTGATCCCAGCTACTCAGGAGTCTGAGGTGGGAGAATCGCTTGAACCTGGGAGGGGTTTTAATTAACTGTATTTCAAAATCTCCAGGGATCTTCTGAGTAGCTCAGCTTGGGTCACGTGCCCCACAAGCTCCTGCTCCTGCCGGTCATATGAGGCAGGTGGATCAGGCCAGTTTGGGTCTTAAGGTGACCCCTGTGGCCAGAAAGGCAGCATTATGTGATTATTCTACCTCCGGTGGGGGAGAGGGGAAGGGAGAGGAGACAAAACAATGCATAGATTGTAGATATTATTTTTTATTAGGTCTAATAATAATATGAAGTTAATAGCACTTTTCAGAAAGCTGAGTAAGGGAGATTATGTGAAGGGGCTTTGAAATCTATAATTCATCGTATTGCTGAGATGGTTATTCTAATATTCATAGGTACTTAAAATAGAGCAGTCACCTTTACTACCACTAGATGGCAGTCAAGTATAATTAGCCTATCCAAATGCTGACTACGCAGTTTCTAAAAATAAGTCTAGAATGAAATCCATTTTTAAGTGGCCTTGAATGAGCCAGAAGGTGAAATGTAAAGCAGTTTAAAGAAAAGTAGCTCATACCTGGAAAATAATATGATATTTCTTGGCTTCAATTGTTTTCTCAAATTCATTCATTCACTCGTTCAAGAAACCTGTGTGCTAAATGGCCACTTTTTTCTTGTTTACTCTTTTTATAAAAAACAGTATTATTAATATATAATTTACACATCATGAAGTTCACCCATTTCAAATGTACGATTTAATAGGTTTCGTATATACAGAGTCGTGCAACCATCACCACAATTGAACTTTAGAACATTTTTGTCACCCCCAAAAGAATCCTTGTCTGTGTCCAGGCACCCCCTCCATCCCAGCCCTAGGTCACCAACAGTCAATTTTCTTTCTCTAGAGTTTTTTCAGTTCTAGGCAGGTGTCTTATTTATTTATTTTTATGTTTATTTATTTTTTTGAGACGGAGTCTCGCTGTATCGCCCAGGCTGGAGTGCAGTGGTACCATCTCAGCTCACTGCAAGCTCCACCTCCTGGGTGCACGCCTTTCTCACAGGCGCCCACCACCACGCCCGGCTAATTTTTTTTTCTTTCTTTTTTTTCTTTTTCTTTCTTTTTTTTTTTTCTTTGTATTTTTAGTAGAGACGGGATTTCGCCGTGTTAGCCAGGATGGTCTCGATCTCGTGACCTCGTGATCCGCCCACCTCGGCCTCCCAAAGTTCTGGGATTACAGGTGTGAGCCACCGCGCCCGGCCGCAGGTGTCTTATTTTTAACCAGAGAATATAGAGTTTGAGTTTTCTGTTGAACAAATCAACATACAGCCAGCATTTCTCACAGAGTGATGTGGTTAATGTATATGTGTTCTTATCTGATCATTCATTTATTCACTCACTTACTTATTTTGTGCACCTGTAATATATACTACGGTGCTGATTCTTTGCCAAAGTAGTAAAGTCTGTGCCTTACTGGAAGCTCAGAATGGGTTCCTTGGAGTTGTAGGGAGAAGACACCAAAGGGCTGGATTCTGCATTCTCATTGGTTATGTGTTCCAGACAGGTGGGATCTAGCACAAATCTGTGCTTTGAACAATGACACTAATAATGATTAGCATGTATTGAAACATACTGTGGCATACTTGGCAGTGCTCTAAGAGCTTATAGTATTGTGTTTAGCCATATTTAAAAATATATTACATATTAATATCAATCTCAGAAAGCTGCTTGAATCAGATAAAACAAATGAATGAGTTTTGAAAGCTCTGATAAACCATGATATGTTATACCATTACTCTAAATTAATTATACATGTTCAACCTCTATAACTTTAGAGATGATGAAAGTGACGTTTGGGTTTATACAGCTAAGAAATTGAAGGGTCTCTAAGCCCTAAGCATAACCATATAAACTCATCAAAACTCATGCAGTGCATGGAGTGTAAGTTTTATGCTTGTTATTTCAGGTCTGTTATACTAACGAACATCTAATAAGTACTAAATACCTATTTTTAGAATAATTGCATATTTTTGTTCTATACACATTCCACTTCGAAGACTATTGTTTTTTACCTAGTTTTTATCTTTTGTTTCTCACAGCACTTTTTAAAGGAATCTTTGGCAGCTAGGTAAAGAAAGGGGTGCTCTAAATGAAAAAGTTCTTTCTGTTTCTTTCTTTCTTTTTTTTTTTTTTTTTTGACAAAGTCTTGCTCTGTCACCCAGGCTGGAGTGCAGTGGCACGGTCTCGGCTCACTGCAACTTCCCCCTCCCAAGGTCAAGCTCTCCTTATGCCTCAGCCTCCCAAGTAACAGGGACTACAGGCATGCGCCACCACGCCTGGCTAATTTTTGTATTTTTAGTAGAGACAGGGTTTTGCCGTGTTGGCCAGGCTGGTCTCGAACTCTTGGCCCATCCACCAATCACAAGGGTGATTCGCCCATCTCGGCCTCCCAAAGTGCTGGGATTACTGGCATGAGCCACCGTGCCAGGCCTTTAAATGAAAAACTTCAAAAAAGATATCTCATGTTAAAATTCTTTGAGGAAGCAGAACTAGACTCTTTAATATGAAAAATTAGTAATTTGAAAAAATGGACTGTTTAACAAGTGACTGTTGACAATGTAGCTACTTCTGAAATGTTCAAGATGTACACGAAAGCACAAAGTCTACAGAGAAAAAGAGGTGGCAAACAGACAGCTAAAACAGCACGGCAACCTCAAGTTGTTTGTGGAATACAGAGAGGGAAGATCTATGTGGGGTTGAGTGTGAACTAGGAATACGAGTTGGAAGAGTGTTCCTGGAAAACAGGGCCGCTGGGCAAAGTTTTGATGGGCAAATAGAAGTTAGTTGAAGGATGGAGTGAGATTTGAGACTCACTCAAACAGAAATAGAGCGTCCATGAAGATTCAAGTGTGGGAGAGGCATCATGCCTGCTGGGGAGTGAGGTGCAGAGATGGAAGTAAGTCTGGAAAGGCAAGAGAATCCAAGTCATGGAGCGCTTCTTACACTATGCTTTTAGAAACAAAGAGAAACCACTGAAAGACTTCAAACAGCAGTGAGATAGATTCCCATGTATTTTTCAGAAAGGCAAAGTTATGGACTGAATGTGCCTTCTCATCCCGATTTGAATGTTGAAATCAAATCCCCAAAGTGATGGTATTAGGAGGTGGGACCTTTGGGAGGTGATTACGTCATGAAGGTGGAGTCCTCCTGAATGGGACTACTGCTCTTATAAGAAGAGGCCAGAGCTAGCTCACTCTCTTTCCACCATGCAAAGACACAAGGAGAACAGGCAGTCTGCAACCTGGAGCAGTGCTCACACTGGAACCTGCACCTCAGTTTCACCATCTCTAAAGTTATAGAGGTGGAACATGTGTAATTCATTTAGAGTAATGGTATAATGTATCATGGTTTATCAGAGCTTTCAAAACTCATTTTTTTAATCTGATTCAAGCAGCTTTCTGAGATTTTCATATGTAATGTATTTTTAAAATAAGGCTAAACACAATATTATAAGCTCTTAGAGCATTGCCAAGTATGCCACAGTATGTTTCAATACATGCTAATCATTATTAGTGTCATTATTCAAAGCGCAGATTTGTGCTAGATCCCAACTGTCTGGAACACATAACCATTCCAGCACACTGCTCTCTGACTTACAGCCTCCAGAACTGTGAGAAATAAATTGCTGCTGTTGATAACCCATTCCGTTTATGATATTTTATTATAGTCACTCAAGATGATGAAGACAGGCAGCTCTAGGGAACACTAGGAGAACAAAATTGAAGGGACCCAGTGAAGACAGGGTAGCCAATGAAGATATTGTTATGGTATTTTTAGGGAGAAAGTGTGCATACTTGAATCAAAACATAAACCTATGGAATAAAAATTTAATGACTGAGGACAAACAACACAGGTAGAATTGGCTAAACTTTGTGACTCATTGAACATGGGACATGAGAGAAAATGAAGATTCCAAGCTAACACCCGAGAGTTTTGCTTGTTCTACTGGGCAGAAGTTTATACCATTAACCAATACAGGGAATATGTGAGAACAAAACTGGTTCTAGAGGGGCTAGGTAGAGATGACACTGGATGGGATAAATTTGAATTGCCACTGGAATATCCAAATGGAAATATGCTGCTAGAAATGTGATATTAAGGCATTAAGGTGGGAGATAAATTTTGGCTGAAGATAAACTTTTCAGAGATATGTGCATATCAACGATAGCTGAAGTAATAGAGTAGATAAGGCCTATTCGAATACCTTTCCCCATTCATCTTCCTGGCAAACTCCTTGTAATAAGTCTTGGTTCTGCTGCACTTCTTCTATAAAGTCTTTCCTGCCTCTTTAATCAGGCATAGGTCTGTGAGCGTACATGGTGCCCACGCATTTGATACGGTCCAGCAGAGCAGTCATCACCTTGAACTGAAATTGTTTGCTTACATGTCTGTGAGTCTACTGAACTATGAGCAAAGGGAACATAGCTTTTTATATTTTTATTCCCAAATTTCTTCAAGCCTAGCAGAGTTTCTGGCACATAATAGGCATTCGAAAATATATTTAGAATAAATGTTACTCACTAACCTCACACCTGTTAGAAAGGCTATTATCAAAAAGACAAAAGTAACAAACGTGGGCGAGGATATGGAGAAAAGAAAACCATTGTACACTCTTGGTGGGAATGTAAATTAGCACAGCTATTATGGAAAACATTATGGAGGTTCCTCAAAAATTAAAAATAGAACTACCATATGATCCAGCAATTCTACTTCTGGGTTCATTTCCAAAGAAAATGAAGTCAGTATGTCAAAGAGAGTTCTGCTCTCTCACTTTTGCTGCAGCCTTATTCTCAATAGCCAAGATATAGAAATATGGAATCAACCTAAGTACACACCATCCACCAGTGGACGAATGGATAAAGGAATTGTGATTATCACATCTATATCACATATGTCAGCAGACCCCAGCCTTTTTGGAACCTGGGACTGGTTTCATGGAAGACAATTTTTCCATGAATCAGGGGGTGATGTAGGGGGATGGTTTCAGGATGATTCAAGCTCATTACATTTATTGTGCACTTTATTTCTATTATTATTACATTGTGACATATAAGGAAATAATTCTACAACTCACCATGATGTAGAATCAGTGGGAGCCCTGAGCTTCTTTTCCTGCAACTAGACGGTCCCATCTCAGGGTGATGGGAGACAGTGACAGATCATCAGGCATTAGATTCTCATAAGGACCGTGCAACCTAGATCCTTCACATGTGCAGTTTCCAATAGGGTTCACGATCCTATGAGAATCTAATGCTGCTGCTGATCTGACAGGAAGTGGAGCTCGGGCAGTAATGTGAGCAATGGGGAGAGGCTGTAAGTACAGATGAAGCTTTGCTCGCTCATCCGCTGCTCACCTCTTGCTGTGCAGCCCAGTTCCTAACAGGTCATGCAATGGTACCAGTCCATGGCCCAGGGTGTTGGGAACCCCTGATATATATGATACATGTGTGAGATATATATATCATACATGTAGTGTGTGTGTGTTTGTGTGTGTATAAAATAGAGCACTATTCATTGTTTAAAAAGAAGGAACTCCTACCACTTATGACAACAAGTATGAACCTACAGGGCATTATGCTAGTGACATAAGCCGGGCACAGAAAAATACTGCATGATCTCACTTCTATGTGAAATCTAAAAGAGTAGAACTCATAGAAACAGAGAGTTGAATGGTGGTTGTAGGGATGTGGAGGAGGGGTGAAAAATTGGGGAGATGTTGGTCAAAGGGAGCAAAGTTTCAGTTACGCAGGGGAAATAATTTCTGGAGATCCACTGTATAGCATGATGACAACAGCTAATAATAATGTATTGTATCTTTGAAAATTTCTAACAGAGTAGATCTTAAATGTATTCACACACAACAAAAGCAACTACCTGAGGTGATGGATGTGTTCATTAATTTGATCTGGGTAATCATTGAATGAGGTATGTGTAAATCAAATATCATGTTATACACTTTAAATATATTCAATATTATGTCAATTATACTTCAACAAAGCTGAAAAAAGAGAAACGTGCCTAGAACTAATCTTTCTTAACCCAAATCCAACCATTGTTAGAATATAAAATGTGACACTGTGGAAGATAGTCTATATTATAGGCTTTGACACATGTACTTTACGATACCATATATTCTGATGTCAAAGGTCTTGTTTTAAAGTCAGTAGGTGCTTAAAATCCTTAGACTTCTAAACCATTAAAGGAAATTAGGCGCTTTTAAATGGTTAATGAAGATGTTTATGTGCAACTATTGTGATTTGCTCCCTTGACCTTTTACATTTGTTTTATTGTGGATCATTAAAAGGATCTCAAGCAATGCTTTCAAAAACTCTAAGCACTGTTAGCATAATGACTTAGATCATTACTTATGATTTTATCTTTCCATTGAGAAATCTTTGTAATAAACCAAGTTCTTAAAATATTGCCAGCTTGTCTAGAAATACAACGCTTAAGATACCTTGTGATATATTAACTGCTTTTCGTTAGTTTGGTTGCTGGCAAGAGTGCAGGATAAACTAGATGCAATTTTAATAAGGAACAGAGAAACTTGATCATTTTTATTCATGGTATTAAGAAAGACTAATGATTATAAATGAAATTGACAACTGTGATATTTAACATAACAGATATAAGAAGAATGATTTTAAAATGCCCTCAAAACACAAGACAGCCTCTGTAGTTACATAAGGAGACTGCAGAGGGTTTGAAGTCCTAGATTTTTCTGATGGTCTTGTCATCTGCATGGAAAAAGTGCTTTGAAATTCTTGGATGAGAATTTTCAAGTTATAAAGTTAGAATATTTTGCATCTGAGGAGCCATATGATGTGTTTATTTTAGCAATGGTCCTTCAAACTCTCTCAGAAAATTGTGTTTTACTTACTTTTTTTCCCTTTGCCCCCTTAGAATAGATAGTTCATAGCAGCATCAAATAAACCGAACTTATCACTTGCTACCTTTTTCCGTATTGTTAACACAGCGGATCTGCATGGTGATGGAGGTTCTGCATATTATTTCAGTTTGCAGTCTGGCTTTTGCTTTCATACCATTCCAACTCATCTGTTCTTAATACTTCCCCATGTGGTAATAGGAGTGGAGCCTGGTGTTGAGGGAAACGTACAAAGCTTGTCTGCATCTGTGATTGTCAGTCTCAGGCCAGGTAGGAAACAGTGGACTACTCAAATATGATAACTGAAGAGATCACATGGAAAAATCTATGTGGAAAGGAGTGGGCAGTTTAAGGAAATCAATTTGCAGAAACTGCTGCATCACCCAGGTGTTAATAATATCAGGGAGCCATTATAACCTCAAGACATGGAGATACAAAGTGGAGAAAAGAGTTCCTTGAATGACCTCATTCGAAGAACTATGGCCTTAGGTGAAAGAATGCCAAGCTGTCACAGCAGCAAAGGTGCTGAGGGAGTAATCACCCCAACTTTGTTCCCTTGTATTCTCTGGTCTGCTGCCAGGATCCATTGTTGACTGAATCCACCTAAACACAGAGGAGAAAGGAATTCACTGACGCGGTCAACAAAGTCAGAGTGTAACGAGAACGGCAGAGATGGAATCTGGAGGGCACATGGGGGAATGGCTAGCGCATGTACGTACTGGCATGTACGAATGCTAAGATCCATTTCACTTTAAGATTTAGTGACGATTATGTCAGTCAGAGTCCCTCCAGAGAAAAAATACCCAGTAAAATGGATGGATGGGTGGATGGATGGATGGATGAACAGATAGATAGACAACAGATGATGGATGGGTAGATGTGTAGATATGTGGAAGATGGATAAGTAGATGAATGGAGCTAGGGTCTGAATGTTTATGTCCCTCACAAATATACATGTTGCAATCTAATCATCAATGTCATGGTATTAGGAGGTGCATCATTGGGAAGTGATACGGTCATGAGGGCAGAATCATCATGATTGGGGTTAGTATTCTTATAAAAAATACTGCAGAAGCTCCTTTTCCCCTTCTACCATATGAGGTCACACAGAGAGAAGGTTCCATCTGTGAACTAGGAAGCAAACCTTCACCAGATGCCAAATCTGTTGACTCCTTGATCTTAGATAGTCCAGCCTCCAGAACTATGAGAAATAAAGTTCTGTTGTTTATAAGATACCTAGTTTATGGTATTTTGTTATAGTAGCCTAAATAGATTAAGACAGATGGGTAGAGAAATAGAAATAGAGATATAGAACAATGATAGATAGATAGATAGATAGATAGATAGATAGATAGATAGATAGACAGACAAACATAGAGAGAGAGAGACACAGAGAGATTGATAGATATTGAAAGAAATTGGCTTACATGATTGTGAGAGTTGCCTAGGCGAGTCCAAAATTTATATAGCAGGCAATTACCATGGATAAGACAGAGACACTTGGGGAGGAGATGAAGCTATTATCCACTAATGGAATTCCTTCTTCCTCAGGGAAGTATCAGTTCTGCAAATAAGGCTTCCTTCGAGGAGGACCAAGACAACTAAACACAATCACCAGCCTCAAAAAAGCTTATCTTCCAAGGGGGATAGAGCAAAGGACTCAACAATTAAAACAGGATGTGGTGAGTGTCATGGCAGAGATAAGCCTGGCATGCAACAGAAACACTGAGAATGGGTAACTAAATTTGGCCTGAGTCTGCACTTCTTGGAGGAATCCATATACAGTATTCCCCCCTTCTTTTAGTTCCCTTTGTGTTGCTAAAAAGGAACACTGGCACTGGGTAATTTATACAGAGGCTTATTTTGACTCATGGTTCTATAGAGTATATAAGAAGCCTGGGGCCAGCATCCGCCTGGGTGACAGAGAGAGACTGTCTCAAAAAAAAAAAAAAAACAGAAACGAAAGAAGAAAGAAATTCTGCTGTGTGACATAAATAGAACAAAATAATTAACAGTAATAATAACAATATTGTTAAGCTCTAAATAATGTAAGGAAACTCAACAGCACAAAAGAAGGGTCTACAAAATAACCAGAACCACTAGCTGCTATTGAAGATCCATGACAGAATGTGCAAATCATTCAAGAGAAGCCACTAAAATGATTTGCTGGCTTTAGAGTAAAGAAGACAAAACACTAATAAATCCTTTCAATAGATTCAAAAATAATTTGTAATTTACAACTGTTTCTGTTGAAAACTGTTAGACTTGGGATAATGGATACTTTCTTAATGACATATGTTAGAAAACAGCAGCAAAAATAATAATAATGACAGGTTTCCAATACAATCAGAAATAAAAAATAGTAGAGGAGGAAGAGAAAAAAAGTCTCTATATTTAGACTTAAAAAGGCATGACAATCAATAGAAAAATAATGAAAAATTATAGATGAGTTTGAGTGTGACTGGATGCCAGAATAACATACAGAAATTAATGATTCTCAATGTATTAGTGATCGCAATTTTGTAAAAATAAAAGAAATAAGATTCCTTTCTCAAAATACACAAAATATCTAGGATTAAACCTAGGAAGAAAAGAATACAGTTTAAAGAAAGAAAGCTATAACATTTTACTGATAGATTAAAAAAGTAATTTAAGAACAAGAAACACTGTTTCTGAGTGAAAGTTTTAACATTGTAAACAGTATTGAAGCTTTTCATTAGGAACACAACAGGGTGGCTAGTTAATAATAACTGAATTGTATATTTTAAAATAAAGAGCATAATTGGATTGTTTGTAACTCAAAGGATAAATCCTTGATGGGTACCCCATTCTCCATGAAGTGCTTATTTCATATTTTATACCTATATCCAAACATCCAATGTATCACACAAATATATACATCTACTATGTACCCACAAAAATTAAAACAGAGACATATCAACCTTTGAAAAAAAAAGAGAGAAAAGTTTCCATATTACAAAGAGCAAATTTCCTTTAAAATTAATCCATATATTCAATCTAACCACAATCAAAATCTCTAAGGGATATTTGAAATGAAATTTTACAGGTTGATTCTGCAGTTCAATCTGGAATGATAATATGTAAATAAATATCAGATGAATTAAACTTAAAAATGAAACCATTTATTAGACAGAAAATATTAGAACATAAAATGTATCTTTGCCATATTGCATTAGAAAATTCCTCCCTAAATAAGACACTAAATCCAGAAGCCATAAAGACTAATGACAGATAGGACTACGTATAAATATGAAACATCTCCATAAATGGGTTTTGAGGCCCAAAGACATGTAGGAAGATTTGTTGGCTATTTAATATGTAAAGAGGTGGCATCCTACTGAGAACCACTCACTTTGGTAGTCCAGGTAGCTAGCAACAGGCACCCCGGCAGACTCCTGTGATTCCAGTTCTTTCTGGTTTCCTGAAGGCTAGTTCTTGGCATCAGGGGTCTCTATTGCCCAGTCATTCTAATGGTTTTGCAAACATCGACTTCTCCATCAAATTCCTTCCTTTTTAACATACCAGGATTATTTCTATTGGTCTGATTGATCCTGATTAATATGAATTTTCTCTGAAGAGAGACAGAGACTCACATTTATCCTATTCTCCATCTCAGCAACTTTATAGGACATGAGTGTCATGCTGATAAATGGCGGTTGAGAGGCTGCACCCTCCACTCTGCTTTTCCTCTTTTTCTCCTAAGCAGGATGGCTAATTCCACCCATACGTTCACTTCCATCTTTATCTCCAGCCCCTTCTCATGACATCACCTTATCACACATAGAATAGTACTCAAAGTCTGTCTAGGTCCGCTCCAGAGCCCTTCCACGGTACAGTTAATTACCTGGCTCTCCCAAAATATTGATCTTAAAATCACTACTTAGCAGAATTCTCACAGTTTATTTTCTGTGATGTGTGTGCTTGATTTTTGTAAGCATTAGCTAATAAGCACATGATTCAAATTACAGTTTTTTCTGATACTTCTTTACTTTTTTTTTTTTTTTTACCTTTGGCTTATAGTTTTACTCTTTTCCATTATTAGGAATTAGGACAGAAAAAGAGACAGGAGAGAGAGAGAAAAAAAAGAAAGAGAGATATGAGAAAGAGAGAGGTAAGAGAGAAGAGAGAGAGGTAATTATTTTCCTTAATTTTTAGATGCCATTTTTGATGGCATGTCACCATTATAAAAAGAGCCCTTTGCTAGACAGAATTCAGAAAACACTCATAGACCTCATTTGATATATCTCTCATCGATAAAGCCTATGTTTCTATTTCACCTCATCAAGAAATCCTAGTAGATTGTAAGCTCATTTCTCATCTTTTATCTTTTTTCCTCCTTCTCCTGCTGGGAAAGCCTTCTAAGTCATTTGAGGATAACAAGTAATAAAAATCTAGTTATTTGATGAAGAACAGTCCATTGGAATGCCAGGCATAGTAGGTCAATAATTACTCAGAAGTAAACAAATTGACTTACTTTCAAACATAGAAGAAGCAAAAGAAAATTTTCTGCAAATTATAAAGAGGGAATATATTATCCTAATTATCCTTCCAAAACATAATGCTGGAAAATAAGTATCTCTTCAGTTGCCATTGTTGGCAATGCAGAAATCTCAAAACAATAGCCTGCATTTTAAACGTGTTCTGTATGTATTATTGATACCTTCCTATTATCTAAAGTACATACGTGAATTATGATATAGAAAGCAAACCTTTTGCCCAACATTAGCTTTTTTTCCCACCTAAAGATAAAAGCCTACAGAATTAAAGGCTATCACATAGCAACCAGCAGAGAGCAGTAGAGAACTTCTCGAGTGCCTGCTGCTAAGCTCTTTGTTTCTGCTGTTTTAACTTTGTGTATAGAACAATCATTGAGCTGTCAGGCTAAATTAGCACAGAAATTCATGGAATCTGTTCAATCCAAACCACCTCCTTTTCCCAAAAATTGTTCTGCAGTTTACTGTAGCACATTAAGTTATGAAAGGGATATTTGCATGTTCTAAATTAATTTGATGGAAAATACGAAAAGGCAAAGAAAAGCAACATGGCCTTTGAAATTGCTTACATTATTCATATGGGAAATTCTTTAGCATAGGATGGTTCTAAGCTATGATCAAGTGGTGCTAACCCAAGCTTTCTTCTTTAGTGACTTGGCATTTAATATTATGTATGTATGTATTTTGGACTAAGCCTCTTCCGATAAAATCAAGTAGAAAATGAAAACCATCCTAACTGACTTCCCTTTAACATAGTTTTGCATTGACTGCATGATATATTTCAGAGTGGTGTTCTAGGTAAGGAGAGGAAAAAAACACAAAAAAGTCAGTCTTAAAAATCCTCAAGTCATTCAAAGACCATGCTGCCCTTGTTCGTATACACATTATTTGCACTGAATCTCCTGTAACACTCTGGTAAGAAATGACTAAAGAAATTTTAAATCCATTTAATTCATTAAATAAAAATAATATCTTATTCTGTCATAATTCTATTCAATTCAATTCCCATCAAATCAATGAAATTAAAGTTATTGTGCTGCTGTTCTGATTAGGCCACAAACTTTTCAGGGTTCTATAATTTTTTTTTTTTTTTAAGATGGAGTTGTGCTCTTTTTGCCCAGGCTGGAGTGCAATGGCACAATCTCGGCTCACTATAACCTCCACCTCCTGGGGTTCAAGTGATTCTCCTGCCTCAGCCTCCTGAGTAGCTGGGACTACAGGCGCATACTACCATGCCCAGCTAATTTTGTATTTTTAGTAGAGATGGGGTTTCACCATGTTGGCCAGGCTGGTCTTGAACTCCTGACCTCCAGTAATCCACCTGCCTTGGCCTCCCAAAGTACTGGGATTACAAGAGCGAGCCACTGCACCCGGCCAGAGTTCTATAATTCTTATGTGTATTATTGAGGGGTAGAGAGAACATTGGCTAAAACATTTGAAAATTGCTTGTGGCTTTGATCTGGATACTTAATGTGGTGTGCTGCTGAAAGTTTTATTGCATCTTGAGATGCTTGAATGTAAGCAACAGAAAACAACTTTAGCCAATTTAGACAATTAATATTTATTTAAAAGAATACTTCATAGCTCATAAAATCTCTGAGAGGCCTGGAGACCTACCTGGTCTTGGAGCACAAGGAGTCAGGAACCGCACCTGCAGGTATACTATAAACTGGTTTCAAGAACACACCTTAGGAATGATATCATAGGCATCAACAATGCGCAGGGTGGAGTGCTGAAAGAGAGCTGCTGTCCTTGCTGTCTACAGAAACCAGCACTACCTTCTTCTACTGCCGCCATCCTTGACAGAACGGATTTGGTACATTTATGCCTCCCTGCACCTCTAGCTTCTGTTTCAAAGACTGAGGTTGGCCTATTGATGACTACAGCCTAGAACATGTTCCCATATCTTCCCTACAGGGGAAGAGGGGGAGTGAACATTTTGACTGACGCTGCCCTGGTGGTTAGTAGGCTTTGCTACCTCAGGTGCTAATTCCTCACAGGTGAAAAGGGTA
Source organism: Homo sapiens (assembly GCF_000001405.40). Lineage (NCBI taxonomy): Eukaryota > Metazoa > Chordata > Mammalia > Primates > Hominidae > Homo > Homo sapiens. The sequence goes on from NC_000010.11 coordinate 9,344,765, forward strand.
TTCGCATCAGGTGACAGGAGCAATGGCATAGATCTACAACATATACTCCTCAGCAGCTGAAATTCATTTAGCACAGATCTATACATTTCGTACTGGGTTCCAGTAATAATGTAGTTGCTGAGGATACAACCATGAACAGTACAGATCAAGATACTTGCCACTGTGGAGTTTACATTCAGGCAGGGGAGGAAATACTAAAACAAGAGACCACATAAATTAATAAATTATAGAGTTTTGTTGGATAGTTAAAAAATAAATTATAATGATTAAAGTACCTTTAGAGAGAGATGTTGGGGGAGAGAGAGAAGGGAAGGTAGGTGGAAAGATGCTTTCACCTAACCAAACCTATCCCTTATAAAAATAAATCATTCCCTAATCAGGGTCAACTCAAAAGTCTCCTAGGATAGCATAAACAAATCCAAGTTAAGGATTTCTAGTTATGGCCACTTCTTTATTTCAATTATGATTCAGATTCCCTATTCTGTAATGTTATTGGTCCATAGGTCATCATTTTCCTTCAGTAGTTTTTCTTTTTTTTTTTTTTTAGACGGAGTCTTACTCTGTAGCCCAGGCTGGAGTGCAGTGGCACGATCTTGGCTCACTGCAACCTCCACCTCCCAGGCTCAAGAGATTCTTCTGACTCAGCTAGGACTACAGGCATGTGCCACCTCACCCAGCTAATTTTTGTATTTTTAGTAGAGACAGGGTTTCACCGTATTGACCAGGTTGGTCTCAAACTCCTGACCTCAGGTGATCCGCTTGCCTTGGCCTCCCAAAGTGCTGGGTTTATAGGCCTGAGCCACTGCACCCTGCCCCTTCATTAGCTTTTTAATGTCTACAAGATCAGTGGTAATGGTTCCTCTTTGATTTCTAATATTGTAATGCATGTCTTCTCTCTGGCTTTTGTTAGTGTCACTAAAGGTTTAAAAATTTTATTTATCTTTTCATAGAGCAACATTAGGTTTCATTGATTTTCTCTATTGTTTTTCACTCTTTAATTTCATTGATTCTGCTTGAATTTCCATTTGGGCTGCAACTTCAAATATACTTCAAATATACATTCTCTACATTCCAAAAATGGAGGGGTAGGCTATTGATTTTAAACCTTTCTTCTTTTCCAATGCATGCAGTGGATGCTATACATTTCCCTCTAAGCACTGCTTTTGCTGCATCTCACAAATATTGATGTTTTATGTTCATTTTTATTTAGTCCAAATAGTTACAAATTTATCTTGAGATTTCTTTGACCCATGTGTTAGAAGTGTGTTATTGAATATTCAAGTATTAATAGTTTGGGATTTTCCAGCTATCTTTCCGTGATTGTTTTCCAGTTTAATTCCATTGTGGTTTGGGAGCAGACACTGTAGGATTTCTATTGTTTTAAACTTGTTGAGGTGTGTTTTATGGACCAGGATGTGGTCTATCTTGAGGAATGTTAATGTGAACTCAAGAAGAATGTGTGTTCTGCTGATATTGGATACAGTATTCTATAAATATCAACAGATCTAGTTGATTAATAGTGCTGTTCATATCGTACACATCCTTTCTGACTTCTGTCTGCCTGATCTATTATTTAGACAGAGGGTTAAATTCTCCAGCTGTAACAGTGGATTTTCCTGTTTCTCTTTTGAGTTCTGCTAGTCTTTGTCTCATGAATTTTAATATTTGCTCTCTTGTTAAGTGCTTAGAGCTTTAAGACTGTTAAATCTTCTTGGAAAATTGATAACTTTATCACTATGTAATCCTCTCCTTTATCTGCAACCATCTTCCTTGATGTGGCATTTGATTTGTCTGCAAGTCATTTTGCTACTACAGTTTCCCTTTGACTACTGTTAGTGCGATACATCCTTTTTTATCTCTTTAAACCATATATGTCTACATGTCTAAAGCAGACTTCTTGTAGAAAACAAAGAATTAGGGCCTTTAAAAACAATTACTCTGTCTTTTAATCAGTGCACATAGAACATTCACATTTGAAGTGATTATTGATATACTTGGGCCAATATCTACTATGTTTGTAACTGTTTTCTATTTATGTGCTTGTTCTTTGTTTCTATTTTTGTCTTCTCTTTTTCTGCATTCTTTGATTTTAATTGACCATTTTATATGATTCCATTGTCTCATGTATTTGTTCATGTATTTGCTCTGTCGTTAAGTGTTTAGAGCTTTAAGATGGTTGAATCTTCTTGGAAAATTGATGACTTTATCACTATATAGTTTCTCCTTTCTCAACATATTAATTACGCCTCTTTGAAACAATTTTTTAGTTGTTGATCTAGAGTTTGCAATATACATCTATAACTAATCTAAGTCAAATATCTCTATCCTATTTCATGGGTAATGTCAGCATCACCAAACAAAGTGGTCCCAAATACTCTTCCTCTTTTCCTTATAACATTGCTTTCATTTATTTTGTTTATCTATAAGTAAAAATTACCTAATATATTTTTTGCTATAATTTATTTGGAACAGTTGCCTATTATATCAAGTAATAAAAAATTAAATGATTTTATTTTACCATTATTAATTCCTTCTTTGATGATCTTTTACTTAAAAAAATATGTAAATTCCTATTCTATATCATTTTACTTCTTCCTGAAGAACTTCATTTCTTGCAGGGTAAGTCTTCTGATCATGAATTCCCTCAATTTTCATATGCCTCAGAAAGATTTTATTTCTCCTTCACTTTTAAATAATAATTTTACTGGGTATGAAATTCTAGATTTTTTTTCTTTCAACACATAAAAAATTCACTTCCATTCTCTTCTTGATTGCAGAATTTCTGATGAGAAGTCCAATGTAATATTTTTCTTGTTCCACTATAGGTAAGACTTTTTCCCTCTGACTTCTTTCGACATTATTACATTTTGTTTGTTTTCCTACAGTTTGAATAGGATATGCCTACGTGTAGATTTTTGTTATCTGTCTTTCTTGGTGTTTGATATGGTTTGGCTGTGTCCCCACCCAAATTTCATCTTGAATTGTAGCTCCCATAATTCCCACATGTTGTGAGAGGGACCCAGTGTGGGGTAAATGAATCATGGTGGCAGTTTCCCCCATACTGTCCTCCTGGTAGTGAATAAGTCTCATGAGATCTGATGGTTTTATAAGGGGAAACCCCTTTCACTTGGTTCTCATTTTCTATCCTGCCTGCTGCCATGTAAGATGTCCCCGTCACCTTCCACCATGATTGTGAGGCCTCCCCAGCCACGTGGAACTGTGAGTCCATTAAACCTTTTTTTCTTTATAAATTACCCAGCCTCAGGTATGTCTTTATCAGCAGCATGAGAACAGACTAACACAGTGTTCTCTGAGCTTCCTGGATCTGTGGTTTGATGTCTGTCATTAGTTTTAGTACATTCTTTGCTATTATTACTTTAAATATTTCATCTTCTCCTTTCCCTAGGTCTTCTCTTTCTATTATTAGCGTTATGTTTATTTACATCATTTGCAATTGTTCTATAGCTCTTGGATATTTATTTTTTTCATTATTTTTTCTATTTGTGTTTTAGTCTTAAAAGTTTCTATTAGAATATCTTCAAGCTCAATTATTTTCTCTTTGGCCTTGTGCAGTTCACAGCTGAGCCCATGGAAGGTATTCCTTTTTTCTTTATTTACCATAGTCTGATGTGTGCAATTTTTTTCCTAATTCTTTCTTAGAGTTTCCATTCCTCTTCTGACATTACCCACCTGTTCTTTCATGTTTTCTACTTTTTCACTGGATTTCTTAACATACCAATGTTTGTTATTTAAAAGTATATATTTAATAATTCAAAATCTGATTTGTATCTCAGTCTGTTTCTGATGCTTTGTCTCTTCAGACTGTGTTTTGTAAATTGCCTTATAATTTTACTTGAAAGCTGGATATACTATATTGGGTAATAGAAGGTATATAAGCCTTAGTTGGAGGTTTTATGTTAATCCAGCCAGAAGCTCAGCTCTGTCTAACGTTTGCTTACAACTGTAGGTAACAGAGGCTTCCATTTATATTATCGATTTTTTTCTTTCTGTAGTTGCTAGTTGTCTATGTTTTCCTAAGAACTTTCTTAAATAGATTGTCTTTTAGCTCCCTCAGCTTTAATACATTTTCATTTTATTGAAGCCCTACTGATGTGGTGTTAGCAGGAAGGGGAGTAGACATATTCTATAAATTTATGATTAAATCTGGTTTTAGTAGCCAGGAGTGTCTGGACTGTGATCTTCGGAAGTGTTTATTATTCTTTTTCCTCCCTTCTCCTAGTAGAGACAGAAAAGCTATAGGGGCCTGGTGTTCAGTACTTTGCTTTTCCAGGTAGATAAGGCTCTGATAAAGTTGTTTTCCTTTGGGAAATAGACTTTCGTTCAGACAAACACTCTGGGCGTAATTCCAAATGGTTTCTTTCCTCTCTCTCTCCTGAAAGCAGAGGAGGTTCTTCTCAGATATTCAACATGAGAGGCCAGTGGAATTACTGGAGCTAAAACCCACACAACTGTAAAACCCCCAAGACTGGAGCCAATCCATGTCCAAGCGAATGTACACTCAGCCCCTAGAAATTTGTCAAAATTATCATTACATTTTTCTATTAGTCTCTTCTCACATTGCTATAAAGAACTACTTGAGATTGGGTAACTTATGAAGAAAAGAGGTTTAATTGGTTCACAGTACCACAGGCTGTACAGGAAGCATGCTGGGAAGCCTCAGGAAACTTAATCGTGGTGGAAGGTGAAAGGAAAGTGAGTACATTTACATGGGTGGAGAAGGAGCAAGAGAGAGAAGAGGGAGATGCCACACACTTTTCAACAACCAGATCCCATGAGAACTCACTCACTATCATGAGAACAGCAAGGGGAACATCCATCCCCATGATCCAATCACCTCCCACCGGGCCCCTTCTCCCACACTGGGGATTAAAATTCGACATGAGATTTGGCTGGGGACACGGATCCAAATCATGTAATCATGTCAATTTTCCTATCAGTTTATGGCTCTAGGGCTTCTGCTCCAGGTGAACTGATTTGTTGCTATTCTCTGTAACCTGTCCCTTCAGATTTTGAAGTAGCATTTACCCTGTAACCTCAATTAACCTCGATTCTTTTTTTTTTTTTAACTTTTCTTTTTTTTTTTTTGGAGACACAGTTACACTCTGTCACCCAGGCTGGAGTGCAGTGGCACGTTCTTGGCTCACTGCAACCTCTGCTTCCTGGGTTTAAGCAATTCTTGTGCCTCAGCCTTCCAAGTAGCTGAGATTACAGGTGTGCGCCACCATGCCTGGCTAATTTTGTAATTTTAGTAGGGACAGGATTTCACCATGTTGGTCAGGCTGGTCTTGAACTCCTGGCCTCAAGTAGTCCACCCACCTCGGCCTCCCAAAGTGCTGGGATTACAGGCATGAGCCACTGCACCTGGCCTTAGTGGTTAAACAGGAAAAACCTGCCAAAATAATGCTGAGTATGGGCCAGGCGCAGTAGCTCGTGCCTGTAATCCCAGCACTTTGGCGGGCTGAGGCAGGCAGATCATCTGAGGTCAAGAGTTCAAGACCAGCCTGGCCAACATGGTGAAACCCCATCTCTACTAAAAGTATAAAAATTAGCCGGGCATGCTGGTGGGAGCCTATAATCCCACCTACTCAGGAGGCTGAGACAGGAGAATCGCTTGAACGGGGGAGGCAGAAGTTGCAGTGAGCTATTGTGCCACTGTACTCCAGCCTGGGTGACAAGAGTGAGACTCTGTCTCAAAACAAACAAACAAACAAAACCAAAAACAATGCTGAGTATCTCATGGTCTCTCTAGAATGGTTAAAGACCAGGTTTTGAGACTCTGCAGCCAAGGGTATGCCCAGGTTACATGCATAACTGGTCCCCTGAAGACAATGCCACTGCTGGGAGGGGTGCACCTCCCAACAGCACTGGTGTTGGTACTGATGCTGACGCCTCTGTCTCTGGAAACTGCTTTCACCTCCATCACAAGTGACTCTTTACGGTTTCTGGTTCTGTGTGTCACTAGCTTGATTCAAAGTTGTGAGCAAGTGGGTTTGATAAGTTCAGCCAGATCCTATGCCCATACTTCAGCTGCAAGGGTAGATGGGAAATCACCTTTGTCATTTTCAACTTCTAAAGTGGGAAGCAGGCTCTGTCTTATGAGCTGGAGAGCTTTTCAAATACAGGAGGGAGTTCAGATGCCTGGGATCTCAAAACAAACAGAATTTCACTCCGACTGGTCGATTCACGCCTGTCATGTTGACTCTTATGTTACAGTAAGTTTGTTAAATAATGGTTTTGCATTTCTTCAGAGTTCAAATAATCCTGGTAACCATTAACTGGCATCAGATGATAACTTCAGGATTAAAGTAGGAAGCTTACAGGGATGCACTGAGTATCACTAGTGGCAGGCTTTGCTTTTGAACAATTCTGAACAGACATTTATTTTTTATGTATGTAACTTTTTTGTTGTTGATCTCTTGCAGCTTTGACAAAATCTGTGATATTGTCCTGTCTAAGTGTTATTTATTTAGTACATGAAGAGGTAGGCTTATCTAGTGTTCTATTCATTCAAAGAGATCTAACTGGAATTAGTTGAATCACAACTTATTGAGAAATTATTCCACTATCAAGCATCACCTGGCCTTGCTTTATTCTTATTTTTTTGCCTGCCACTGGTATTACAAAGTACTAAGTTACCCAAACGCTTTAGCTTATCACACAAAGCCTTGAACTATCTCTCCTCAACCTCATTTTTTCAAACTCATCTCTTTCCAATATTTCTGTTCACCCTGCATCCTACATTCTAGCCACACAAAAAACATGGCTTTCTGCTTCTAGCCATTTCCTTCTGATGGACCCTTCTCTCCCACCTCTTTCCACCAATAATAGTTTATTTTTCTTGTATACACAACACCTTCCTATTCCATTTATCTAAAGTAAGGTGTTATGGATAGAATTGTGTCTCCCCAAAATCTGTATGTTGGCATTCTAACCCCCAATGTGACTATGCTTGGAGATAAGGTCTTTAGAGAGGTAATGAAGGCTAAAGGAGTTTGCAAGGGTGAGACTTAATCTGAAGGACCAGTGTCTGTATAAGAAGAGGAGAAGACACCACCTCTCCTTCTCTCTTCAGGCGTGCACAGAAGGGCCATTTGAGGACACAGCAAGAAGGCAGCTGTCTGCAAGCTAAAAACAGAGCCCTCTTCAGAAACCAAATCTACTAGCACCTTGATCTGGGACTTCTAGCCTCCAGAACTGTGAGGAAATAAGAGCCTGTTGTTTAAGCCACACAGTCTATGGCATTTTGTCATGGAAGTCCTGACAGACTAATTACATAAAGTAAGGTGATAAAAAGAATTCCATGAACAAAAATGAGAAGTGACCAAAGATGCAGGAAGAAAACTGGGGGAGGATGCTTGACATATACTAAAAATGAGATTAAACTTTCAAAAAACAAGCATCAAGTAGACCAAGAAGTAAAGATAGATAAGAATTAAAACTTTAGTGGAGATTTGTATACAGGAGCTTACTAGTGACCTGGGTGAGAGCAGTTTTAATGAATGGTATGTTTTGGAAACCATCTATAGAAGTTTGAAGAATAAAGATTAAGGGAGGAAATACTAGGATAGTGGGTAATTCATTTAAGATGTTTTGATGGAAATGGAGATATGTTGGTAAGTGGTGAGAAAGATACATGTAGGTGTAAAAATAAGAATGTTTAAAAAATAATATTTCAGTTTGCAGAAATCAACCCTACTGTATTTTTCAAGGTTTATCTTAAACATCTGTTCTTTGTTGATGAGTTACTTTCTCCATGTGCCTCATGCAATCCCCCATAGACTGTAAATTTTTTCACTCTTTATTGGATTCATGTGCTTGTTTGATTTTCCCCAATTAAATAATAATCTCTTTGAGGAAAGGAAAACCATCCTATTTATCTTTGGGACCCTATTGTTGGCAAATGTTATAATGTATGGTCTATACAAGTTTGTAGAATTAAACAATTCATCAGGGTAAGTGCTGAGATGATATGGCTGGGGCACTGCTGCCTCTGGTACAGTCTCGTGAAAAAAATGTAGATGTTGACATTTCCATTTAACAGTACACAGCACCCGACTTCCCTACTTACAACCTATTTTGGAACCACTTGTGTCTTCTGTAGCTACATTTAAATACTTATATTTGACTTACAGGAAATGTTGAAAAGTCACAGAACTTTGAGCTTGCTTTTATAAAGGAGGTGTGGAACACTGGCTTCCCAAATATCACCAACACAACACATTGGTAACACTAAGTTGAACTCACTGCCTGTGTTGCAAGGGATAACAGTATCTCTACTGAGCATTGGCCATGTATTGGTACAGGGGAGGCAAGGTAAGAATTTATTAAGAATTGGAAGTTTGGTTTAAGGCAAATCTTTCAATAAGGGGATTTAAGAATGAGAGACAAAAACTGATATATATGGCCAGGCGCAGTGGCTCACACCTGTAATCCCAGCACTTTGGGAGGCCGAGGTGGGCGGATCACGAGGTCAGGAGATCAAGACCATCCTGGCTAACACGGTGAAACTCCGTCTCTACTAAAAATACAAAAAAATTAGCCAGGCGTGGTGGCGGGTGCCTGTAGTCCCAGGTACTCAGGAGGCTGAGGCAGGAGAATGGCATGAACCTGGGAGGCGGCGCTTGCAGTGAGCCAAGATAGCGCCACTGCTGTCCGGCCTGGGCGAAAGAGCGAGACTCTGTCAAAAAATAAAAAAAATAAAAAAAATAAAAAAATAAACAAAGAAACATATATATATATATATATATGTATTCTGATATATATATGTGTGACATATGTATATATACATATATATCAGAATTTCTCTACAGGGAATAATAAAGGGTTTGTTTTTGTTTAGGTTGAAATGAAAGGATACCACAAAGTGAATCAAAACCAAACAAAGAAATAAAAAGTCCTAGTAAGTGTAAATACGTGGGCAAATATAAAATATGTTTTTGTTTGTAACACATTTCTTCTCTACCCGATTTGTAGGACAAGTGGATAAAGCAATAATTATAAAATAGATTTTCAACAATTGATTTTCAACAGTGATGCCAAGACACTTCCATGGGAAAACAACCGTCTTTTCAACAAATGGTCCTGGGACAACTGGATATTAACATTCATATGGATGAATTTGGGCTCCTAATTTACAGTATATACAAAAGTTAGGTCAAAAGTATACCATAAACCTTAATGTAAGAGACAAAACTATAAAACTCAGAAGAAAACATAGGAGTAAATCTTCATGAACTTGAATTAGGCAAGGTGTCCTACGTCAAAGAACATCATCATAAAGGTAGATTGACAACTCACAGAATGGAAGAAAATCTTTGCAAGTAGATCAATAAGGGATTTGAATCTGGAATATACAAAAAGTTCTTACAGTGCAACAATAAATAGATGATTAAAAATAACAGTATTGGCTGGGTGCAGTGGCTCACACCTGTAACTTTAGCACTTTGGGAAATCAAGGAAGGTGGATCACTTGAGCCTAGGAGTTTGAGACCTGGACAACGTAGTGAGACCCCCTTTCTACAAAATAAAACAAAAACTAGCTGGGCATGGTGGCATGCTCCTATAGTCCCAGCTACTCAGGGGGCTGAGGTGGGAGGATCGTTTGAGCCCAGGAGGTGGAGGTTGCCGTAAGCCAAGATTATGCCACTACACTCCAGCCTGGGAGACAGAGTGAGACCCTGTCTCAAAATTAATTAATTAATTAAATTAAAAATAGGCAAATATTTGGATGGCTATTTCTTTGAAAAAGATACACTAATGACCAATAAGCACATGAAAAGATGTTCAGCTTCATTAGACATTAGGGAAGTGCAAGTCAGATCCACCATGAAATACTGTATCATAACCACTAAGATGGCTAAAATTAAAAAAAAAATAGACAACAATAAGTGTTGACAAGGAGGTGGAGAAAGTGGAACACTTGTACATATTACTGATGTGTTTATAAATGTTACAAGCACTTTGGGAGACAGTTTGACAATCAGAGAGTTATCATTTGATCCATTAATTGGTAACTCATAAATATATTCCCCAAATAATTGAAAACATATGTCACACAAACTTGTGGATGAATACTCATAAGCATAATGTGTAAGCATTACTTATAATAGGCAAAAGTTAGAAGCAACTCAAATGTCCATCACTGATGGATGGAGATATAAAATATAGTATATAGATACAATGGGATATTATTTGGTTTTGGAAACAGATGACATCCTCATACATGATCATGGACGAACCCTGAAAATATGCTAAGTGAAATAAACCAGTAACAGCAGTCACATATTTTATAATTCCAGTTATTGGGATGGCCACAATGAGGAGAATATTTTTAAAACTAGATAATGTAGTTACATGACTCCATAAATGTACTAAAAGTCACCATATTGTACACATTAAAGAATAGACGTTATAGTATGATAATTATAATTAAATTAAAGCTGCTTACTTTAACAAAAAATACATTAGCTTGATAAAAATTAATGTACTTTGATAAAATGTTCGTATTAAGTACATCAGGTAGGGACACATCCACCTGAATAACAAGTAATGTGATAGAGAATGTGAATTCCCAAGATCCCTGATAAATTCCTTTAGCTAAAGAATTCTTTATTGACTCTAACTTTTGGAAGTATCAGAGAAACCAGATAGAATGTGCACCACAATTCACAAAAGCTTTTCCAGAATTTTAACATGCCTACTGAGTTGCCACAGAACATGTGAAACTCAAGGTAGTAGCTATATTTTCTAGAAGAGATGGTTAAGATCACTGGCAGGTCTGTTTTTGAAGACAGGTTGAACAACCTGAAGTCACTTGACATTCATTCAAATTTTTGAGCAGAACTCTGGTAAATACTGTTAGTTAGGAAACAGATGACATATTAACTCTACTCTCAATGCTCTTTAAGTCCAGTGGGAAAGAAGATACACCTCTAAATGAACAAATGCAAAACACACTGCCCTAAATTTCTTGGTGGAAGTATATATCTGGCTTAGTAGAAACACAGAGATCAACATATCAGCTCTGTATGGCTGAGTCAGAGGATGCTTTACAGGATTCAGTCCAAATTTGGATTCAAGCAAAAGAAAGGGCAAGGGTTACAAATGGGCTACTTCAGGTAGATGGGACACACCATGGGAAATGTGCTGCAGTACAGATTTACTGCTTTCGACAGCAGTAGAGCACAGTGCTTCAGTGTGCAGACTCACTAGTATCCTGGCGTCTTTACCACATGATTGTGTGTCCTTTAGCAGAATGCATCAATCCTCCATGCCTATGTTTCTTCATCTGTAAAGTAGGGCCAATGCTAGCACTTATCTCATAGAGTTGCAATGAAAATTCAATTATTTAATGCACAGAAAGCAGTTGGAATAGAACCCAACACATAATATTAATAAATGCTCAATAAATGCTAGTCAGAAGCTGTTACTGACTTCCCCTCTCTTTCTGGACTGTGAGATGACTACCTGACTTCTTAGAGCTAACCACTAATTCAAGAGAACACCCTGGCCGGACATGGTGAGGTTCACGCCTGTAATCCCAGCACTTTGGGAGGCCAAGACAGGTGGATCACAAGGTCAAGAGTTGGAGACCATCCTGGCCAACATGGTGAAACCCTGTCTCTACTAAAAATACAAAAATTAGCTGGGCGTGGTGGCACAAGCATGTAGTCCCAGTTACTCAGGAGGCTGAGGCAGGAGAATCGCTTAAACCTGGGAGGTGGAGGTTGCAGTCCTTGCACTCCAGCCTGGGCGACAGAGTGAGACGCCAGCTCAAAAAAAAAAAAGAAAAAAAAAAAAGAGAGAGAGAGAGAACATTCTTTGGCACAAAACAAAATTTCAGGTGTATATATTGCATACTTTTTAGGTAAAGTTGCCACTTTAGTCTTTATTTTTCTGGATTTCTTGCCCTCTCCTTCCTTATCCCACACTCCTGGATATTTCGGTATCAGGTAGGCTATAATTAAGATAAGAAGGGCACTAATTTACTCTTGGGAGCCAGGGAAATTTTACTTCAATGTAAGGATGAAAATAATATGCTTGTAATTAAAAACATGTGTTATAGAGTGGAAATGATTTTTGGGTAAGCAAGTGAGAATACTATGTTCTGAGAAACTAGAAATTGACAAGAATTATAGATGTCACTCTCATTTGTTTATGTCCAATCAGAATATCAGCCCAGAGGAATTAAATGGGTATTAGAATTGCCACAAATCTTTGGATTCCTTAAGAGGTTTGGAAGATACTTCAAATACAGAAATTCGGATGGTCTAAGTTCTTTTTCCCTTTTTTATTTATTTATTTATTTTTATTTTTTTGAGACCGAGTCTCGCTCTGTCACCTAGGCTGGAGTGCAGTGTTGTGATCTCACTGCAACCTCCGTCTCCCAGGTTCAAGCTATTCTCCCACCTCAGCCTTCAGAGTAGCTGGGATTACAGGTGCCCACCACTACGCCCAGCTAATTTTTGTATTTTTAGGAGAGATGGGGTTTTATCAGGTTGGCCAGACTGGTCTCAAACTCCTGACCTCAGGTGATCCGCCTGCCTTAGCCTCCCAAAGTGTCAGCTGTGAGCCACTGCGCCTGGCTGGGCTCTAAGTTCTTTAATAACTACTGAACTCTACACAGATTGAGAAGCCTAGATCAGTAGAGATATTGATTGTTCGATGACTTCCAGCTGTGCTGGAATTTGTGCTGACATTTTAGTTTTCAAGTTAAAGAGGCTAATTTCAGGCGAAAGTGGGTCTTAAGTATATTCACATGAGGCAATGTTTACAGGAATCATAGGAGAAAAATATACTGCTGGCTATTAAAAATTTGTAAGCATTTCCAAACAGCTGGAAGTGAAAAAAAAAAGAATATCCCTACCAACTCAAGCGTCTCCAACTTGAATATCCCTACCAAGAATATCCCTAGCAACTCAAGCATCTGGATGCTGTCCAATGTTATTAAAGGACTGTGGAACTTCAGAATCCTTATATGTGAACATTTGTTCCAAACCACGGAAACAATCCAAAGAGTAGTGGCTATGCTAGTGCCCGTTTAATTCAACAGTGTTAAGAAGTTACATGGTATGTGCTAAACATGCATGAAGAAAACATGAGTAAGAAACAAATTTCACCCTTGAGAAGCTACCAGTCCTCGCTAAAAACTGGTGACAAAAAAGGATCAATTGCTTCGCATCTTCTTTGTAAGCAAGGACATGGGCAATTAATACAATTAATTCGCTTGTATGTATTAATTGATTGTTTTCAGTCAACAGTCTTGCACTCTGTAGTCTTTTATCCTCCCTTTCCTCTAGTCACCACTATTCTACCATCTCTCTTCTACTTCTATGAGAACAACTGTTTAGATTCCACGTATGAGTGAGATCATTAAGTATTATTTTTAATTTGAAAGAGGGACTTAGAAAAATACAAAACCTCTACCTACTGAATAACCCACTAAGTAACCAGAGAAGGTTACTTTTCCATTTTTGAAACTTACTCTTCATCACTAAATTTTGTATCCATTTCCAAAGTTAAATGAACAGACAACAACCAAAAAAAAAAAAACAAAAAAAAGTTAGCAATCTGGCAGTTCATTCAAAAAGGTTACTTTTCCATTTTTAAAACTTACTCTTCATCACTAAATTTTATATCCATTTTCAAAGTTAAATGAACAGATAACAACCACAAAACAACATTTTAGCAATCTGCCAGTTCATTCAAAACAGGTATCTGTCAGCATGCAAGTGACAAGGCCAGCTGGCAAACTAAAATTATATCCACTCAATTGTTATTCTGCCATAATGAGAAAAATGGTCTAAAATAACCTAATTATCTGTCTTGTGAATTTTTATTATTTCAAAAATTTTGGGTGACAGCCACTAGAAAAAAATATAAACTATAGTTGACTCTGGAACAACACAGTTTTGGACTGCACGGGTCTGCTTATACGTGGATTTTCTTTCACCTCTGCCATCCCTGATACAAGACCAACCCCTGGCTTTCTCCCTCTCCTTGCCCCATTCAATATGAAGATGACGAGGATAAAAACCTTTACGATGATCCAGTTCCACTGGATAAATAGCAAATATATCTTCTCTTATTTATGATTGATTTGCTTAATAACATTTTATCTTCTCTAGCTTACTTTATTGTAAGAATACAGTGTATATACATGTAATATACAAAATATGTATGAATTGTTTGTTTTCAGTCAACAGCCTTGCATCTTACAGTATTTTACCCTCCCCATTCTCTGGTAACTACTATTCTATATTCTCCTTTCTACTTGTATGAGAAGAACTTTTTAGATTCCACATGTGAGTGAGATCATTAAGTATTATTTTTAATTTGAAAGAATGACTTAGAAAAATACTTGACCTTTACCTACTTAATTCTTGTTTCCACAATTCTATGGTTTCAAAGATAACTGTTAACTTGGCTCCTTCTAAATGCACCACTGAATAAGCGCTCATTATGAGTGACTATAATCCTAACAGAAAGATTGCTCATTTAAACCCATTGCAAAAGTCAGTAGAAGTTAATAGTTTATATTTGGTCATAGAACCTTTTATAGTGACTGAAGATTTATAGTCATACTGATGTGATTCAAATTCTGATTCCTAGAATCCCCTGTGCCTTTCAGCCCCTGTCTTTCCATTATTCTACCTCTTCCCAAACATTCTTTGGAATAAACTTTTCCTGGGCACTGGGAATATTAAAAGAAACAAGGAGAGGCTAGGCGCGGTGGCTCATGCCTATAACCCCAGCACTTTGGGGGGATGAGGTGGGCGGATCACGAGGTCAGGAGTTCGAGACCAGCCTGGCCAACATGGCAAAACCCCATCTGTGCTAAAAATACAAAAATTAGCCCAGTGTGGTGGTGCGCACCTGTAATCACAGCTACTTGGGAGGCTGAGGCAGGAGAATCACTTGAGCCCGGGAGGTGGAGGTTGCAGTGAACTGAGATCACACCACTGCACTCCAGCCTGGGCGACAGGGTGAGATTCTGTCTCAAAAAAAAAAAAAAAAAAAAAAAAAAAAGAAATAGGGGAAGCTTGATGACAGCGTGGTCTCTGAAACTAGTTTCCTTAGGTTCAAATTCCAGTATGAATGACAATATAGATACGTATGTGCGTGCATATATACATATACACATATATATTTAAATATGTATTTAATATATTTTCTGAATAACTATATGATACATGTATATGTTTGATATGTTTGTATAAATGCATGTACATTTATATATAATGTATATATCTGAGATAGTTATCACATATATGTAATACATATATCTATTGCAATATATACAAATATATATCTCTAAGTGATATAATATGTACATACATAGATATGTACATAGATATATATCACTGTATATGCATATATTCACATGTAGATGATATTTAACTATCACTATATATACATATATTCACATATGTATCCAAATAATATCTCTCTCTATATATATATGTATGTGTGTGTGATTTATCAATTATTACAATAGATGGCTTCTAATAATTTTATAATTAATACTAACTGTTAATATCAAACATTTCGCACACAAAAGTAAGACCTGCATAATGAGGGCTAAGAGTAGTACTAAATAAAGAGATACATAAAACTACTAGATATTTTAAATTCAAAGGTGAAAAACTCCTTGGAGCTATATTATTTTATTACATTGGTGACACACAGCAATTTCCAGGTTTGAGTGAATTTCTAAACTACAGAAACTTACCTCCAGATAAGCACTGTTTAGAATTTTTTTTTTTTTTGGTAAACTCTCTACTTATCTGCAGGTAAGCACTGTTTAGATTTTTTTTTATAAACTCGCTAAAGCATTTTATTTGCAAACTAAAATGATATAGAAAAATTGTTGTCAATAATTGCTTCTATGGGATGTCAGCAAATTTAATTCATTTCTCCACACAGGCTTATAAACCCAGCTTTTGTATGTGATATGTTAGATCTAGGAAGGTAGAAACAAATAAAATCACAAATAACTTTAAAGAACTTAAGAGGAAAAATTGTCTGTTTATGATTCCCTTATTTTCCCTTTTCTCCCCTTAGACACGCTGGTTCTCTCTCTCTCTCTCTCCCTGTCTCTTTTTATTTTTATTTTTTCTTTGAGATAGAGTCTCATTCTGTTACCCAGGCTGGTGTGCAGTGGCAGGATCTCAGCTCACTGCAGCCTCTGCCTCCCGGGTTCAAGCGATTCTCCTACCTCAGCCACGCAAGTAACTGGGATTACAGTCATGCGCCACCACGCCTGGCTAATTTCTGTATTTTTAGTAGAGATAGAGTTTCACCATATTGGCCAGGCTGGTCTCAAACTCCTGACCTCAAGTGATCCAACCAGCCTCTCTAAATGCTGGAATTACAGGTGTGAGCCACCGCTGGTTCTCACTCTTCTATTTCTATCCTGCAGGATCACTTAATCGTCTCTTTTGCCTGCATCTGCTTTGAAAATATACACTTAAAGGTTTTATTTTATTCAGTGGAGGAAAGTGAGTTGCTCAGAGCATCAGGGGGAAATGTTACAGAAGAAAGAAGTACCTAGAACTTCAGGCCAACTCATTCAGTACCTCCTTACCATTGGCCTTGGCATCACGAATACTGTTTAGAGGATAAGAAAAGAATCATATAAAACACATATCTGTCATCTCTAAGCGTAATTTTCTGACGTAGGTGATTTTCCCAATGGTTCTAAGACAGACAATACATACCTTCATAATTGTATCATTTAGAGGAATATACTATAATTCAAAAGCGTAAGGGACCTTAGGAGATGAGAAATAACTGACCCAGATTTTCAGCACAGAATTACCAATGACCTGGACGGGTATTTCCTTTGAGTTTTGAGTACTATTTTCTTTTTTGGAAAGTGATGAGCAAATTCATCAACATTTGAAGTGAGGAGAAATAATATACACTGGAAGGAGTTCCTTATATACACTTAAAATATATTAAAATTGACCTTCCTGTAGAGTCTTCAGGATGAATTAAATACTTGGTCATGCCTTACTGGCAGAGAAAATGGTGGTTCAATATGGAGTGTTAATTGGGAACTGAAATCTGTTTAATGACCTTCTTTCCCCGTCACTATTCAGAGTGAAAGCCTCTCTTATATCTGCATTATTCTCGTGAGCAATTCAGTCAATGAGATACACTGTAAACCTACTCTTCTATGTACTTTTTCGGAGTTCTCCAAGCCATTTGGAGGCTGAGTGATCAATTTCAGAAAGCTTACATAGAAAATCTCCTTGGGTATTTTTCTTAAGTTTTGAATAATTTTCAAATGGAGACAGAAGATCAGAAGAAGCCTGACTTTTATTTTCCACTAGTAAAGCTGACCACTAGATGATTCTTATCAAACTCAGTCTTGATATTTGATATTTTAGATCTTAAGCACTTTTGCTATCTCGGAAATGTTACGACAATGGGCTTAGAAGCTGGCCATGCCCCTGTCAGTATCACTACTGTTATTTTACATCTATTTAAGCCTCACAACAAATGCGTTTCTGAAAGGGAAAAAGTTTTAACTTTTTGAGATACTGGATATCATGGCTTAAGATACTCTGATAATCCAGAATTCTGAAATATACCTTATTCTGAATTGATTAGTAATTATCACTAGTCCTTACTAGATGACATGTATATAAATCAAGTTTGCATTTAAGTAACATCCTACCCAATATCACAATTATTGTAACAACTGACTCATTATAAAATATGCACTATTTTGCCCCATCCCCATGAACTTTTATTGTTTCAGAAGGTTCAATGTCTGCTAATTTTGGGGGAACACTATTTGGGGAAATCTCTTTGGTAATCTACAGCAGGGGTCCCCAATCCCTGGCCCATGGCCTATTGGGAAATGGGCCACACTGCCAGAGGTGAGTGGCAGACAAGAGAGCATTACCGCCTGAGCTTTGCCTCCTGTCAGATCAGCAGTGGCATGAGATTCTGATAGGAGCAGAGCGCTTATGTGAACTGCACACACGAGGGATCTAGGTTGCACACACTTTTTGGGAATCTAATGCCTGATGATCTGAGGTGGAACAGTTTCATCCTGAAATCATTACCCTCCCCCAACCCGCCCCCATCCGTGGAGAAATTATCTTCTATGAAACCACTTCCTGGTGCAAAACAGGTTGGGGACTGCTGCTCTACAGAGCCAGTTCGTAGTAAGAAATATTTTGAAGAAAATACTTCCTTTTAGGGAGATAAAAGAGAAGAGAAGGGACTCAACCAGTCTTACAACAAAAAAGAAACAACATTGTAAGTCATTAACACTTTAAAATGGATTAATTTCATGTGTTATTCAATGCATAAGGATTCATATACACAATTTGTCATTGATTGGAGAAACCTATCAAAATATGTATCTAGGACAGAGAAGAGAGCCAGGCATGGCAGGTTGACCTACTAGTTCTTATTAATTGAATGCATCTATGGTAGAATTTCAGATTCTGCATAACCTGGCTGGGAAACTGTTTTTTATAAACTTGCTTTGACTTTGCTCATCTTAAAACAATTAGCTTCCTAATTGTAGGACTGACTTACATATTTTTCTTATGACACCCAGACAACTTTTTCTTCTTCTAGATTCTAGCCTTTGACATTGGACTCTCGGAATTGGAGAAGACATAAGTAGATCAATAAGTTGGGGATCTTTCTGTTAAAAATAGGAAAACTCTATTCTAACCAACCTATTTAAATGTCTCCTGGACTGGATGCATTGCTCCCCTGATACTAACAATCCTACTGACTCTACTTTTCCCTTTTCCATAGTATTTGCCACCTTTTAATATGATAGAACATATTATTATTAATGACATATTATTATGTCTATATTATTTAGTGGATGCCGCCTTCCACTGGAATGCAAACTTAACAAGTGTGGTACCTAGAAATGAACTACTCTCATCTGTAAGATAGGTACAATAATCATGACCAAATGAGCTTATATTTGTAAAGCCTCTGAAAAATGTCTGCCCATAATAAGTGCCATTGAAGAAACTGCTGCAATAACGTAAGTAAATAAATAGCTCTTTACAAAGAGACATTCTTCTTTAGGGAAAACTAAAATGAGAGAATGGGTGTCCAAGAGGACAAGTTCATGCTCACCCGGTGATGAGAGTTTGATTGCAGAATAAGGCTAGACAAAGGGAAGCTGAACATGACCAAAGCCATGTGACATCGTATGATCCTCGAATCTCACAGTATCTATGTATCTATAATCAGATACATCCCTAGACTTTCCAGGTATGAGAATCAATCGTTTATTCTTCTTTTTCATTAAGTTGTTTTGATTTGATGTCTTTCTTTTTCATTAAGGTGTTTTGATTTGATGTCTTGTCACCTGCAACTCCTAAAACCCTGAGTAATACATAAACCTACTGCTGCTATGCTGCTATCTGAAGTTTTAATTTATTATTATTATTATTATTATTGAGACAGGGTCTCTCTCTGTCACCCAGGCTGGAGTGCAGTGGCGGATCACGGCTCACTGCAACTGCTGCCTCTGGGTTCAAAGGATTCTTATGCCTCAGCCTCCTGAGTAGCTGGGATTACAGGCGCCTCCCACCACTCCTGGCTAATTTTGTATTTTTAGTAGAGATGGGGTTTTGCCATGCTGGCCAGGCTGGTCTCGAACTCTTGACCTCAAACGAGCCACCTGCCTCAGACTCCCAAAGTGCTCGGATTACAGGTGTGAGCCACTACACCGGCCTGAAATTTTAATTTTATATGCCATTTGTGGGCATGTATTTATTCTAATTTCTTTCTCCATCAAATATTTGTTGAATAAATGCTGTAAACCGGCTATATTGAGTAAGTTAGATATGAGCACTGCCAATATAGAGCTTATAGTCTAGTGAAGAAGAGACAGGCTAAATGATTCTGATAATTACTTTAAAAGAATAAGCACAGCATCAGAAAATAAGGGCAGGATATTCACTGAAGATGTATCAGAGGAAGTATTTTCTGTATATATACACACACATACACGCACACACCTGTGAAAGAGTTACCAGCACTGACTTGGATTGTAGGATGGGCACTAAGAGCCGAATCTGAAAGACAAAGTAAATGAGCCAACTAAAATTTTATAGGGCTGTTTTCTCCTTGGTAGACTGACCCCGCTCATCTCCTCCTAAATGCCAATTAATCCCTTGCTTTCGTTGCTCTATTTTCTAGAAAATACTTGACATGGTGAAAATATTGTATAAAGATTAAATTGTTACCTCTCCTAGGAATTCTGGTACTTCACGAGGATGTGAGAAGACTCTGAACAAAATAATACACTGCTCGTGGTAGGTAACAGGTCTTCACAGCAGGATTTTAAACAGAAGACTCAGGAGGCAGGTAGTTTTCTTTTGTAAGCCCATTGCCTAGACACTGCACACCAGCCTGGCTCTGTTGAAGTAATAAGCAGAGGCAAACTACATCTGAAGATTCTGTATTTTTTTCCTCTCCTCTCTTCCCTCTCCTGCTCTCCCTGCTACGGTTTGACTGTGTCCCCACCCAAATCTCATCTTGAATTATAGCTCCCATAATTCGCATGTGTCATGGGAACCACCTGGTGGGAGGTAATTGAATCATGGGGGCGGGTCTTTTTGTGCTGTTCACGTGATAGTGAATAAGTCTCACAAGATCTGATGGTTTTATAAAGGGGAGTTCCCCTACACACGCTCTCTTGCCTGCCTCCATTTAAGACGTGTCTTTGCTCCTCATTCGCCTTTTGCCATGATTGTGAGGCCTCCCCAGCCATGTGGAACTATGAGTCAATTAAACCTCCTTTCTTTATAAATTACCCAGCCTTGAGTATGTCTTTATTAGCCGTGTGAGAACAGACTAATACATTCCCTCTTTCCTTATTTCTCTTTCTTCCTTTCTTATTTCTTTTTCCTTTTTGCCTCTCCTCCTCTTCCCATACCTTCCCATTCCTTCATTATTTATTTATTTCTCTTCTTCTTTTTCTTCCTCTTCCTCCTGTTCTTCTTCTTCTTCTCCTTCTTCTCCTTATTCTCCTTCTTCTCCTTCTTCTTCTTCTCCTTCTCCTTCTTCTTCTTTCTCCTTCTCCTTCTACTTCTCCTTCTCCTTCTTCCTCTTCTTCTTATTTTGTTGTTTAAGAGACAAAAAAAAGTCAGTGTCTCAGGCCGGGTGCTGTGGCTCATGTCTGTAAATCCAGCACTTTGGGAGTCCAAGGTGGGTGGATCATTTTAGGTCAGGAGTTCAAGACCAGTCTGGCCAACATGGAGAAACCCTGCCTCTACTAAAAATACAAAAATTAGCCAGGCGTGGTGGCATGAGCCTGTAGTCCCAGATACTCAGGAAGCTGAGGCAGGAGAATCACTTGAACCTGGGAGGTGGAGGCTGCAGTGAGTGGAAATCACAGCACTGCACTCCAGCCTGAGTGACAGTGAGACTCTGTCTCAAAAAAAAAAAAAAAAAAAAAAGTCAGTGGCTGCAAACCAAGTAGAGTTGGCCAGTTTGGTCTTTATAACACAGGGAATGTTGATTACATAATGCATCTTATTGTAATAGAGTTATTTGAAAGCGTTTATCAAAATTCATTCAGATTTTTATTTTCCTGAATGCTTAGCACTTAGAATTGCTCTCAGCATAGTAAGTGATGAAAAATATTTTTCAAAGAATTTGAAGATATTTCTGTTGTTTTATAGAGTCAATACAAAATGATGATTATTCTAGTTCATTGGGATTTATGATTTTTGTCCTATAGGTAATATTGCATTTTCATTTCCTTTATTGTTTAAATCTACAATTTATTGTTGAGTATGTACTTTGTGTTAGCCCCTGTGTTCAGTGTTGGGGATACAAACTTTCTTTAAAAAGACAGTTTCTTTTTTGAAGGTACTCACTGTCTAGTGAATGGGACAGATGAGTGAGTATATATTAATATATGGTGGAGATATGAGGTAGGTACTGGACAAATTAGATCACAGAAAAAAGAAATTTGTTTCAGACCAGAAAAGACCGTGTAAGTAATTAAGTGCATAGCAGCCTAAGGAGATACCAAGTGCACCATAGTCAGTTCAAGCTGCTATAACAAATTGCCACAGACTGGGTGGATTAAACAGCTAAAATTTATTTCTTATAGCTCTTGAGACTAGGAGGCTAGGAAGTCCGAGATCAAGTTTCCAGCCAATTTGGTGCATGGTGAGAGCCCTTTTCCTGTTGGGCAGCAGGGTGCCTTGGTGGAAAGAGTAGAGTCTGGTCTAGTCATCCTTTTAAGGGCACCTACCTTATCATGGAGACTCCACCCTCCTGACTCATCTAAGCTTAATTACCCCCAAAGGCCACCTCCCTCCCCAAACACTATCACCTTGAGGATTAAGGCTTCTATATCTGAATTTCATGGGGACAAAAACATTCATTCTACAGCAATGTGCAAAATTTTAGAGGCAAGAAAGAATGGGATATTTGAAAATAGTTATAATAATAGTTATAATAATCTGGATTATATGGATTTCATGGACAGGATACAAAAATGATGCTGGTACCATCAACAGTTAATTAGATGATTTTATCATGGTATGTTCACACAGCAGAATACTATATAGTCACAGTTCTCAAATTGTAACCAGGCATAATAATCCCATGAACAGCTTGATAAAACACAGATTGCTGGGCCCCACTTCAAGAGATTCTGATTCAGCAGGTCTGGGGTGGGACCTAGGCATTTGCATTTCTAACAAGATCTTATATAATGCTGCAGCAGGCCCAGAGACCATGCTTTGGGTAGCATACCCAAAATAGTAATCCATAGTAATGTGCATGAATGAACGACAATATGGATGCATCTCAGAAATGTGATGTTGAGTCAGAGAGCAGCCAGGCACTAAAGAGCACAGTTGGTATCATTCTACTTATATAAAGTTCAAAAGTAGACAAAGTTAATCTATGCCATTAAAAGTCAAGATAATGATTATCTTTGGGATGAGCAGGTGGTGAGACTGTATAAGGTACCAGAGAAACTACTTGGCCTTTGGTAATGCTTTGTATCTTTATTTGAGTGCTAGCTACATGCCTGCATGCAGTTTTAAAATATTCGTAAATCTGTATTCATTTTTTGCAATTTATTCATCGTGTGTAATATTTAACAAGAAACAATGATGAAAGAGTAGGCAGAACCCAATACACAAGTTACTGGGCACTTGTCTCATTCTAGATGCCATTACAGACATTGTCAGTGATCCAGTAATAAAAATGACATAGTTATCACCTTCAAATAAATCACAGTTTAATCGGAGAACACAACACTTTAATAAGAAAGATTATGATTTATGACAAAAAATGGTATCAAGTGCTGCAGAGTTTCAAAGGAGAGAAATACAACTTCTGGTTTAGGAGATCAGCATAGATTATAATGAGGCAATAGTAGTGGAAATGGATCTTGGAATGATGCGTAGATTTCACAATTGATTTGGCTGCATATTTAAAACCATTTTTTCTCTATCCAGGGTCTTTTAACCAAGTCCTCATGTTTCGTTCAAGTGGCATCTCTACAGGTCTTTTATTATATACTCAAGCTTCAACTGACTCTGCTAGTAGTCACTCTCAAGATGAATTTCATATAGCCTATGTTGCCAATAGTTTCAATGGGACTATTTCAAATATAACCTTCAAATTTGGTGAAAATCTACCACTTTTACATGATGCAATGGCTGAAACAATACAAAAAAAATGGGCAAATAAAACCAAAGTGCATTTTACTAATATAGGCAATGAGCTGAGGTATATTCCTGCAGCCTATGTTCAAGGGCACAAAAATTTATTCCTTATTTTATTTTACAAAAATATGACCAGTTATATCATTAAATACAGCTCAGCTGAGACTACATTGATAGAAAATGACAGAAGAAAAATGCTACAATAATAAATTGTCAACAGTACAGATGGCCCAAATATGAATATAAAAACATTCAAATTAGGAAATCTCCATGAATAACTTAAAGTCCAAAAACTATATCTCATTGTCCTTTTAAATTAAAGTTCATGGAAATTTACAACAGTGCACAGTACAGTCCCAACCTACCTCATATTCTGCTCAAGCACAGGTGGGAACCTCACTTAGATATGTGGATGTATTAGTTGCTGTAGCATTATACATCCGTGTAAGAAATGGATGAGAGTTCCACTGTTTCTGCATTCTTGCCAGTACTTGGTATTGTTAGCATTTTTTATTGTAGCCATTCTAATAGCCATGTGATCATATCTTGTTTTGTTTTGATTCGTTAGCATTTTCCTAATGATTAGTGATGCTAAGCATCTTTTCACGCACATGTCTGTTATATTGTCTTTGATGAAATACCTATTCATTTTCAATTTTTAACTGAGCTGCATGATTTTATTAGTGATTTTAAGAGTTTTAAAATCTATGCTAGTTTAAGTACTTTGTCAGATATGTATTTTATAAGTAATTTTTTCCCAATTTGGGGCTTTTGTCTCCATTTTCTTAAAATTATCTTTCACAGAACAAAAATTTTAAATTTGGATGAAGTTCAATGTGTTAATTAATTTTATTATATGAATTTAAGAAAGCTTTGTCTAAGCCAGGCCCATATAGATTTACACAAAGATGTTCCTAGAAGTTTTTGTAGTTTTAAGATTTCCATTTAACACTATAACAGTTCTTGAATTAATCTTTGGATAAGGTAAAATATGAATAAATATTCTATTTTTGCATATGTATTTCTAATTGTTCTAGCACCATTTTTTGTAAGACTATTTTTCTTCACTGAATTTCTTTGACATTTTAGTCAAAAGCCAATTGGTCATACATATGGGTCTAATTTTAGAATTTCCACTCTGATTCATTGATTTATATCTCTACTGCTTAGTCAATACCACATGTATCATAAATTTTAGGCAGTATTAATTATATCACCACTATTATAAATGTAAAACCATTGGCTATATCTCAATATCAAACATGATTACTGATTACTTCAGTCTAGAAATCAGTGTGAGTGCTGAATTTTGTTCTTTTTCAAAATTGCGTTTGTCTATCCTATTAGCTTTATATAATTTACAGTCTATTTCTACTAAAGATTTTATCTCTACAAAATTCATTGTCTATTTCTGCCAAAAGTTCTGCTGTGGTTTTGAAGAGAATTTTGTTGAACCTATTTCAAAGCTCCGTTGAAGTTTAAGGAAACTTAGTATCTGAAAATTATTGAGTCTTATATGAAAATATGTGTGTGTGTGTGTGTGTGTCTGCATGCACAAGCATGTGTGTATGTATAAACTACCCACATATGTGTCATATTTATTCATTGGTTTTATAGTTATAAAGAGATCAATTGGTTTTATAGTTATAAAGAGATCAATTGGTTTTATACTTATAAAGAGATCAATTAATCAGTCTTGTACAGGGTTGCTTAGATTAATTTCTAAATATTTTATATTTTATATTATTACAATTGGTACTATTTTTAACTATTTCAATTTGATTGTTCATTTCCAGTGTACAGAAATATAACTGATTATGTTCTGTTGTTCTTATGTCCTGTGGCTTTGCTAAAGTCACTTATCAAGTATAGTAGCTTTTTGTAGATTCCTTGATATGTTCTATGTATACAATAATGACACCCAAGAATAGAAAAAGTTTATTTCTTAGTTTTCAGTCTATACATTTTCTATTTCTTTTTCTTGCCTTGTATCATTGGCTGGGAACCCACAACATGATCTTGAATAGAAGTAGTGAGAATGAACATCTTGCTTTTTCTGAACCTCAGGGAGTATGACATTAATTGTAGGTTTTTTGCAGATGCCTTTTATTAGGTAAAGGGAGTTAATTTCGATGCCTAGTTTGCTGAGAATTTCTATACATGTTCTGTTGTTAACATTTAATTGTTAATATGCTAAATTTTGTCAAATTATTTTTCTGTATCTATTGAGACAATGTAACAGATTTTTCTTATTAGTCTGTTGGTATGATGATGCATATTAATTGACTGCAGTGTTAAACCAGTCTTGCATTCCCGGGATAAATCTCACTCAATAATTATGGATATTGCTTGATATGATGTGCCAATATTTTCTTGACGATTTTGGCTCTAAGATCATGAAGGATACTGTTCTATAGTTCTATTTTCTTTTTATTTTATTTTATTTTATTATTATTATACTTTAAGTTTTAGGGTACATGTGCACAATGTGCAGGTTAGTTACATATGTATACATGCGCCATGCTGGTGTGCTGCACCCATTAACTCGTCATTTAGCATTAGGTATATCTCCTAAAGCTATCCCTCCCCCCTCCCCCAACCCCACAACAGTCCCCAGAGTGTGATGTTCCCCTTCCTGTGTCCATGTGTTCTCATTGTTCAATTCCCACCTATGAGTGAGAATATGCGGTGTTTGCTTTTTTGTTCTTGTGATAGTTTACTGAAAATGATGATTTCCAATTTCATCCATGTCCCTACAAAGGACATGAACTCATCATTTTTTATGGCTGCGTAGTATTCCATGGTGTATATGTGCCACATTTTCTTAATCCAGTCTATCATTGTTGGACATTTGGCTTGGTTCCAAGTCTTTGCTATTGTGAATAGTGCCACAATAAACATACGTGTGCATATGTCTTTATAGAAGCATGATTCATAGTCCTTTGGGTATATACCCAGTAATGGGATGGCTGGGTCAAATGGTATTTCTAGTTCTAGATCCCTGAGGAATGGCCACACTGATTTCCACAATGGTTGAACTAGTTTACAGTCCCACCAACAGTGTAAAAGTGTTCCTATTTCTCCACATCCTCTCCAGTACCTGTTGTTTCCTGACTTTTTAATGATTGCCATTCTAACTGGTGTGAGATGGTATCTCATTGTGGTTTTGATTTGCATTTCTCTGATAGCCAGTGATGGTGAGCATTTTTTCATGTGTTTTTTGGCTGCATAAATGTCTTCTTTTGAGAAGTGTCTGTTCATGTCCTTCGCCCACTTTTTGATGGGGAAGTTCTGGCCAGGGCAATTAGGCAGGAGAAGGAAATAAAGGGTATTCAATTAGGAAAAGAGGAAGTCAAATTGTCCCTGTTTGCAGATGACATGATTGTATATCTAGAAAACCCCATCGTCTCAGCTCAAAATCTCCTTAAGCTGATAAGCAACTTCAGCAAAGTCTCAGGATACAAAATCAATGTACAAAAATCACAAGCATTCTTATACACCAATAACAGACAAACAGAGAGCCAAATCATGAGTGAACTCCCATTCACAATTGCTTCAAAGAGAATAAAATACCTAGGAATCCAACTTACAAGGGACGTGAAGGACCTCTTCAAGGAGAACTACAAACCACTGCTCAATGAAATAAAAGAGGATACAAACAAATGGAAGAACATTCCATGCTCATGGGTAGGAAGAATCAATATCGTGAAAATGGCCATACTGCCCAAGGTAATTTATAGATTCAATGCCATCCCCATCAAGCTGCCAATGACTTTCTTCACAGAATTGGAAAAAACTACTTTAAAGTTCATATGGAACCAAAAAACAGCCCACATCGCCAAGTCAATCCTAAGCCAAAAGAACAAAGCTGGAGGCACCACACTACCTGACTTCAAACTATACTACAAGGCTACAGTAACCAAAACAGCAGGGTACTAGTACCAAAACAGAGACATAGATCAATGGAAGAGAACAGAGCCCTCAGAAATAATGCCGCATATCTAAAACGATCTGATCTTTGACAAACCTGAGAAAAACAAGCAATGGGGAAAGGATTCCCTATTTAATGAATGGTGCTGGGAAAACTGGCTAGCCATATGTAGAAAGCTGAAACTGGATCCCTTCCTTACATCTTATACAAAAATTAATTCAAGATGGATTAAAGACTTAAATGTTAGACCTAAAACCATAAAAACCCTAGAAGAAAACCTAGGCATTACCATTCAGGACATAGGCATGGACAAGGACTTCATGTCTAAAACACCAAAAGCAATGGCAACAAAAGCCAAAATTGACAAATGGGATCTAATTAAACTAAAGAGCTTCTGCACAGCAAAAGAAACTACCATCAGAGTAAACAGGCAACCTACAAAATGGGAGAAAATTTTCGCAACCTACTCATCTGACAAAGGGCTAATATCCAGAATCTACAATGAACTCAAACAAATTTGCAAGAAAAAAAAGTTCTCTTTTCTTAGAATGTCTTTGTCTGGTTTTGGTATCTGTGCTTTCATGGTCTCAGGAAATGAAATACTTTCCCCTATCTACTATTTTCTGAAGGATTTTGTATACAACTGATATTGTTTTCCTTACATGATTGATACTATTAAATCATTGAAGCCATTTAGGCCTAGATCCTCTTTATTAGATTTCGTTTTGTTGCTTGTTTGTCTTTTAGAAGTTTGATTGTGATCTATTTAGACAGATTTCTTTGGGTTTACCCTGTTTGGATTTATTTTAGCTTCTTGAAAGCGTCTATAAGTTTATATCTCAAGACCACTTTGAGAAATTTTCAGCCATTATTTCTTCATATGTATTTTAGTTCCATACTCTTTTTTTCTCTCCTTTCTAAGGTAAGTCCTTTAACATGATTAAGATAATTTGTTATTTGTATAAAACGATGATATCATAGCAATCTGCATTTTTATTACAATTTTCACATGTTCTGATCATACATTAGACATATTTGTTCTTACTACATTCTGTGCTTTTTTTCCCCTCACAGCTTTATTGAGATATAATTTATGTACCATAAACATCACCCACTTAAAGAGTACAACTTAATGGTTTTCAGTATATTCACAGATACACACAACCATCACCATGGTCAGTTGTACAGCACTTTCATCACCCTGAAAAGAAACTCTGTACCTTGCAGCAAGCATGTCCTACCACCTAGTTTTCCCACCCTCTGCCCTAAGCAACTACTAATCTACTTTCTGGTTCTACAGATTCCCTGTTCTGGACATTTCATATGAACGGAATCACATGATTCTTTTGCGATTGACTCCTTTGACTTAACACATTACTTGAAACAAAGATGTTAGCTACCACCAGTGTACTTTATGTAAAGTAACAGGAATAAAAGGAAGAAAGACAAAAAAACAGCTAAGACTTAGCCTCTGCATTTTCTACTCTGTAGCTGTTTCAGAGACTAACCAATATAGACAGTACCATTTCAAGTTAGATCTTTTGGATTGAAAATTTAGATCATATTGATAGCTAAATAACCCCAAGTATTCAATATGCTACCAGAAGACAAAAGTGTTACAGAATATTATAACCTGGTAAAATTTCTACATAAAAATCAAAATATTAAATGATATCAGAGGGAAAAGCTGACCTATAATGTAATTGTTACTGCGACCTCAACTGATCCTTTTTGGAGCTCTGGAAAGAAAGTTAGCAAGTAGCTCATTTGTTAGCCAAGCAAGAAAAGTGGTTGACCTGTGGTAATTCAATTAAACCCTGTTTGATTGAAGCAGATGAAGAAATGTGTCGACATTTTGAAACAAACAAACAGAGAAGACTACAGATACTCCTTGACTTGCAATGAAGTTATTCCCCAATAAACTTACTGCAAATTGATAATATCTTATGATGAGTTTATCAGGACATAACCCCTTGTAAGTCCATGAGCATAATAAAAGCATACCACTTTTACACCATCATAAAGTAAGAAAAAATTGTAAGTTGAACTATCCTAAGCCAGGGACCATCTGTACTAGCCTTAGTAGATTTTAAATGTTCTTATCACAAAAAAATACTAAGTATGTGAGCTAATGCATATGTTAATCTGCTATATTTAGCCATTCCACAATGTATACATATATCAAACCATCATGTTGTACACCATAAATATATACAACTTTTATTTGCCAATTCAAAAAACTAGTAGTTTTTCTGCAAGAATAGTTGCTCCAAAGTTGAAACAGTGGGAGCAACGTTAATCATCAATTAAAAAACAAGGCAAACAATTGTGAGTGGTTGTCCTTGGTTCTTGATAAACGGACAGATGTGACTAATACTGTTCAGTTGTCATTGTGTATTAGAGTCAATGCTGAGTTTGAATTGGCTGAAGAATTCGCCTCTATGAGTAGTCTGCATGGAACAACTACAGGCAAGAATATTTAGAGACGTTGATAAAACACTCATTCAATAGAACCTGAAGTGAAATCATCTAAGATGCATCACAATTGATGGTGGTGAATGTACATGGTGTAGAAAAAGGCATAGTTGGAAAAATTTACAAAGCTTGTGAAAATGTAACGAGTGTAAGGCTTGCCATTATTCATGGTAGCATTCATTAGCAGATACTTTGCAGAAGACATTTATCTATCAACATATTATTAAAAAGTAGTGTCAATATTGAAATTTAGTCACATTCATGGACTTAGCCATTGTGAATTCTGTAAACTTTTGACAGAAAAAGTTGAATACACTAAATTGTTCTACCATCTATACAGGCAATTTGATGGCTTAAGCAGAGGCAAAGTTTTATTGTGGATTTTTTTTAGCTTGAAGCCAAAACTGAAACTTATCTTAACAAGAACTGCCCTTGATCAATATTACTGAACACCAAATGTTTTGGGAAATTAGCTTTTGCTGCACACTTGATTATGTTTCTTGATTAACTCAACCCCAAATTACAATGGAAAACTGAGCTTATATGTGAAACTTATACTACAGTAAAGTCATTTCAACAACAATCATTGTTTGAATCGTGATGTCATACATTTCTTGTGCTATCAAAAGTTAAAACAAGAAATGAGATCTTTATTTCTACACAAATTTGCATAGAATATATTTTCTGAGCTGAAACTAGAGTTTCAGCGCATATTTTGGCCTCAATGAAAGTGCAAAGAGAATTTCCATAATTTACAATCTACTTAGGTGTGAAATTGAGAAACTTTCACCTAATGTTCAATTGGGACAGATTAATATGCAATGTAAAGCCATGCCAAAACACCAATATCAAGCAGGAATCTAGAATTTTATCAATGCCCTGAAATTGCTGCATATGCTCAGTTAAGATCGTATGCTTATCAAATGATAGAGTATTTGGCTGTAAATATCTGCATGAAGACATTTTCAAAGATAAAATATGTAAAATCTCATTACAAATCACTAATAACTGATGAACATTTCCAACAGATTTTGATTATAGAGAACATTAACTCTGAACTCCAGTTAACATGTTATCTCCTTCAAAAATAATTCCATTCTTCACATTAGTGGATCTGTATTAGCAAAAAATTGTACTGAAATATTATTACTACAATTAGAGTACTATCCATAAAATTTTGTGGAAATTTATTTCTCCCTTCTTAGGTATGTACATAAGAAGCGAGAAATGTACATATATAAGAAGACATAAATAAATAAATTTCCACAAAATTTATTTTGTCTCTTCAACAAGTTAACAACAAATTTTGTCAATCAGCAAATTGATTTCGTTTTTGAGGTTTCATCTTTAAAACAATGGCTAATACATAAATGGACACCTTGAGCAAGCTTTGGAATGGCCAGTATAAGAGGCTGCCCACTGAGTGGATTATTCTGTTGACTTCATTATGGACAGTCTTCACAAAGCAGATGTCCTGTGCTTCTGTTTCTAGTGGTTTATCTATAAACTACTCCTATAGACCACCTTGTTATCCTATTTCATTTTTTTCTAGTTTTTTGCTAGATTTGCAACCTTAATAAGTTGCCACTACTCATGCATCAGGTACATGCATCAAGCCATCTCTTATTTTACATGAAATAGAACCGTATACTGACCTAATATAAGCACATAGGAGGGTTTTCTTTCCTTTCACTGCTGCTTCCAGGGCCCCTCTTAATTAACAACATCTTTTGCTTGGTGCCTGTAAACAGTGCAGATCTAAATGCAGCACAGAGCTACAAATCCCTTAACAAGTCATAGAAAACTCACCGCAAGGTAAGAGATGTGTTGAAAGAGAGCCAGAAAGGTGGCAGGAGCAAGTACCAAGACCATCAGAACCATCTGTGCTCTGTTTGGATCTCTGGTAAATGTATTTCCATTCTGCAATTAAATTCTCCTATAAACATTCAATTTTATGGTTCAGCAGACTAGGTAACATCCAGATAAAGATGGATAGTTCAAGTCATATAATCAGTGGGGTTGCATGGCCAGCAGCTATGAGCTTCCCAAGAGGTTTGGTTAGCATAATATTGTCCATGTATGGGAACAGCATGATGTCCTGCAGGACAATAAGACAATCAGTGCCTCTTCAGAGTAAACTGTGACACAGGGTAAGAGAGTTCACCAAGTTTTGAGGAAAGACAATGAAAGAAATATTGTTCCACTCTCTAGAAAGTTAACCGCTTCTGATAACCTTTGTTAAAAGTGACATTGGAGATAAAGCAACCAAGTAACTGTACATCTATTCCCATAGTCTATGTTGAATTCTTTAAGACTACAAATAGAATTATAGCTGCAATGGGAAACATCAGCTGATAACGATTTTTCATGATCATTCCCCCAAATCTTAACAACCTTTTCACTGGACAAACATGGTCAATGGGGCTGCTTTATGAATCACAGTCACTACCTCTCTCAATTGTCTGATGGTCGCGTAAATCTCAACAGCTCTGCCAAGTCTAGGGTATTATGGTTTCATAACAGTGAGCAGGGAAGGCGATTTGAGGACCTTCCACTTGGCCCTTTCTAAGACAATCCTCACTCTGTGGGTTATGTCTCACAGCAGTGATTTTGCCAGCTATTAATTGTATCTATTCTCCTAGTATATTTTGGGGCTGGAGAAATGATTGTAGGATGGGCATGTTACAAATGTTAGACATGATCTCAGGCCAAAGCTACACTCATCCTTTTAACTCCATAAACCCCACAGTGGCATTTATGGTCTAGAGTAATGAGTATCAGTTCAGAAATGGTATCTAATAGCTAGAATAGCCGCACAACTCATCGCATAAACCAGGATGCCTTTTAGAGTGAAGAAGACATTGACTGGACCAATGCTGTGACAATGGGCATACAGGAGGGCCACCCCTGAGCAGCTGCAGCTTGTGGCCACTCTACTGATAGACAGGCAATCTGGATACTTCCCTTTCCTCTGGACGCAGTTATCCTGATAAATGGGTGCGGTTCCCTGTGGCAATATAGTATTAGGTTGGTGCAAAAGTCATTATGGTTTTGTCCTTACTTTCAAGGGCAAAAGCTGCAATGACTTGTGCACCAATCTAATAGAATTTTTGCCAAAGAATCTGTCTCCTTATCAAGGGAGGAAGTGCTAGTTTTGTTACCTGGATTAGAACTGTAAACTGAATAAGAGCAATCAGAATCCCACACAGGAAGCTAAGGTGCTTCTGCCCACTAAACAAATAAATAAAGTAAGCAAACACCAACAACAATGAATATTAACAAACAATGCACGTGTGTGTGTGTGTGTGTGTGTGTGTGTGTGTGTGTGTGTGTGTGTTTGCCCAAAGTATGCTTCAAGAGCTGCTCATATATTTTCCCTCCAGGAGCTCAGTGGTTAATTAGCAATCACTACAGATTTTGAAAGCCAGAACAGTCTGAATACCGCTGTATCAGCATGGCTTATTGTAGAAATGGAAAATTGTCTGTTGTTTGAGCACCCCCACATTAGCCCTCTATTATTAAATCTAGGCCCTCATTATTTCCACTGAGATGAGAATTTAAATCCCACCATAACCTGTGGACTACAGAGGACAGGTCCCACTACAAAGCTGGATAAGGATGCTGGCGCTCCCCAGTACCGAGGCATTTCTTAATGCCTGTTAAGGGATGGTCCTTCAAGTATTCATTGCAAGGGGTAAGTTAAGAGAATGGCTGAGCAGGCTGCGAACAATGTATCCTTTCTGTCATTCCCAAATCCCTGGATCTTCAGATTCCTTCCGTGAAAGCATGCCAGGGGAACATCAGGATTTACACTCCTTCATTTTAAAGCATATTTAGATGCAGGCTTTAATTAATCCATCCAGCAGACGATTGTCATTGCCAAGTACTCAATAAATTTCCATTTTTAAGGTAGCTCAAATACATTAGGAAACATGTCCTAATCCAAGTCTTATAGTTCACTCTTGTTGCTCTAACACTTTCTGAGTGAAATCCGATGGATTTTTCCAAATTCTTGCCAAAACAAAATGGTGAGATCCTACAACTCCTTCAGTGTTCTTTTGCCAGATGAATCCTTTTGTTTCTGGGGGAGGGGTGGCTATGTGGAGATCTCAGTCTCTTTGTGGGCCTGAAGATAATGAGGTTTAATGAGTTTTGTTCCTATGATAATCATTAAGTATCTCAGCAATAGTCATTGTAAAGTTTTGAAAAGGAGTTTTGTTCTCCTAGTGGGGAAAGAGCCCGAGGTGGACAATAACCTCTGCTAGCAAGGGATATTTTGGAATTTCACAGTTTTTAGTATCTTCTATGTCTTCTAAAATGATCCCATTTCATGACTCAGTGACTCAATCCCTCCCAATCTGTGTCCATAATTTAACCTAATGCCGGGTCTGACCCGCAGACCCTGCCAAACGACAGATGAAAAAACTGCACGCAGACACAGGTTTTTTGCCTGGCCGCGTGGCTAGGGGACCGGGCTGCCCCCAGACACCGAGGAGGGTGCTGTAAAGAGTTAGCAGCCGCAGCCTCGACCAGCCCTGCGGGCATTTATTCAGTACAGATTTAATGTCAAAGACTTTGAGTCAACACACTTGTGGGTAGTTAACATGGTGGCCCCCCCACCCCCGCCCCCCACTCCGCGCCAGTGAGCAGTCTTGTGCACGGATGATTAAAGGCCTAAGTAAACTAACTTAACTTATCTAGATCAATTTCTTTACATCCCCTTGTTATCTCACCTAAGCTTTCAGGCACCAGATAAGAGAATCTGGCTGCCTTCTGCCAAACCATTTCCGGAAGCTTTTGTAAAACCTCCCAGCCTTCCAAGAAGGTTTGCATTTTTCTACAATTTTTCCCACCACCCTGACCGAACTCCTACAACCTAAGATACCAGATGAGTTGATGATTGATGCTGACACCCTATGACACTCACAGTTGAGGTCTGTTACAACTGATCATTGGCCCTACCTGCTTTGCAAGATCAAATATGCCATGGAGACTGCTGCTCGCCCACGTGTGGTCTGCATGGGACATTCATGGTCTTCCATTAACTCTTCTCTTGTGTACATGCTCTC
Organism: Homo sapiens; assembly: GCF_000001405.40. Taxonomy (NCBI): domain Eukaryota; kingdom Metazoa; phylum Chordata; class Mammalia; order Primates; family Hominidae; genus Homo; species Homo sapiens. The sequence goes on from NC_000010.11 coordinate 9,379,951, forward strand.
AGGCCTTCTGAAGCTGCCAGCCAATTCTGCAATCTTTACAATCGCTGTTGTCAGCATTGTGATTAATACTGGTCACTTGATCTCTAGACATCTCGCCCTTCTCTTGTGCTCATTCCTCTGTCACAGTGGAGATGACTTGAAGTAATTGTGTTGTCACCACATGCCCAGGTTTCAATTTGACCCCAGGGAAACAGTTGTTCATGCCCTCCTCACATATGTCAGCATCCCAATTCTTGACATATGGGAGGGTCTATTTCCGGAGGCAATGTCTGGTAATAGTTATTGTACAAGTCATATTCCCAGCAGAGACAGCATTTTCACTTTTAAGTGGGTAGGTTTAATAAGGAACTATTTTCAAAGTAATGTGCAGGATTTAAAGAAACCAAAAAGTGATAGACCACTCCTCGGGATGGCAACCCCCAGGCCTCCTGATGAGAGTGATGGCCTTGGTTGGAGGAAGTACAATCATCTCATGCTACCCAGCTTGCTGGGTGTGATGGTTAATATTAGGTGTCAACTTGAGTGGATTGAGGGATGCCTTGATGGCTCGTGAAGTGTTGTTTCTGGGTGTGCCTGTGAGGGTGTTGCCAGAGGAGACTGACATGTCGGTCAGTGGACTGAGAGGGGAAGACCTATCCACAATGTGGGTAGGTGCCATCCAACTGGCTGCCAGCGTGGCTGGAACAAAGCAGGGGGCAGAAGGTGGAAAAGTTTGCTTGCTAAGTCTTGTGGCTCTCTTTCTTCTTCCCATGCTGGACGCTTGCTTCCTCCCCTCCTGCCCTTGGACATCAGAATCCAGGTTCTTTGGCCCTTGGACTCTGGGACTTGCACCTTTGGCCTCAGACTGAGGGCTACACCAACAGCTTCCCTGGTTTTGAGGCTTTCAGACTTGTATTGAGCCATGCTATCAGTTTCTCTCTTTTCCCAGCTTGCGGACTGCCTATCCTTATAATGGTGTGAGCCAATTCTCCCTAGTAAACTTCCTCTTATATATACATGTATCCTGTTGGTTCTGTCCCTCTGGAGAACCCTGACTAACACAAAGAGGATGCAGGAAACATGGCAAACTCACTCTCCTCCTACCTTCTTCTTTCCTGCAAGGGGCCCATTGATTAAGTCCAACTGAAAGCTAGAAGCATGAAGCATGTGGATGCCATCTGCATAAGTCTGCATCCACGCATCAAGGAAGGAAGAGTGGAACTGGATCTGGAGAGGTAAATGACAATATTGCTATCCAGTGCAGATGCTTTCTGTATTGCTTGTGACACAAAAACACACGATTCACCTGATTATTGTGAAAATCTAACACAATTTTAAAAATCATTCAGAAAGTTCTAAAATGAAAACTCCTTTCCTCCCCTCACCAAGTCCACTCTGAAGAAAGAAAACTTTGTAGAGTTTCTATAATTTAGTTTTTCTGACTCTAACTTTTGATGATATATTTAACTATGTTAGATCAAGTTCATCTGAATCATTCTCCTCATATAATTCTATGAAAATGTGGGTGAAATACCATCATTTGAATACTGCTGAGATTAAATGCATGAAGCTAAGCATATGGGAGGGTGGTGGTGTTAAATGTCAGAACTAAGGAGAAAACTTAAGTCCTGACCATTAAGTGTGAGTGCCGAAGCTGTGGTGGTTTAATCAGACTGAGATATGCATCCTAACCTTTAAGAGAATGAGTTTTTAATGCTGAATAGGAACAGAAACAGGGACCTTAAACCACTATGACACAATAATAAGGAGCTGGGACCACTGTATAAAGTCTGGGCTTTGAGAGAACTGCCCATTTCATCCATATGGATGAGAACAGCTCTGTGCACTGCCCCAGTGAACTGGAGTGAAGCTTTCTCCACCAAGGGCTCTGAATGAGAAAAATCATCTCCCATTATAAGAGCCAGAGTGCATGCTGGACATAAGAATGGCTTCCACATTATACTAACTGGGGTGTGTGGGAATCCCAGCTTGAGAAATTAATGCACAACTGATTCCAGACTGGGTAATCTTCTGCAGAAAGCTTGCAAAGGGCAAATTGTTCCCTAGGGACTTTCTACAATATGAATTGCATGAGGATCCTACATAGGAAAAAAAATACACTAAAGATTCAATCAGGAATAATCATGACAAACTACGAGAGCTGGTGATGTATAATAAGTTAGAATCAGCAGAGACACAAAACAGGAGGATTAGGACCCCAATGAATAAGAAAGAACACAATGCAAGCCTCTGTTTCTTTTGGGGTGTGCAGGATCAAACACACCATGGAGCTGTGGTCTGAATGGGACATCTATGGTCTTCCATTAGCTCTTTCCTTGTGTACACGCTCTCATGTCCTCTGAAGCTGCCAGGCGATTCTGTAATTTTTACAATCACTGTTGTCAGAATTTCAATTAGTACTACAGTCACTTGATCTCTAGACAACTCGCCCTCCTCTTGTGCTCATTCCTCTGTCACAGTGGAGACAACTTGAGTAATTGCATTGTCACCACATGCTCTGGTTTCAATTTGATCCCGGAAAGAAAGTTGTTCATACCCTCCTCACATATGGCAGCAACCCAATTCTAGACACAGGTGAGGGTCCTAAACAGGAGAATTAGGACCCCAAGAAAATAAGAAAGATCAAAATGCAAGAGTCTGTTTCTGTTAGGGTGACTATCATTTTCCTGGACATGATTTTTCCAGGAGGTGTCTCTGGGGTGAGTCACACTTACTGTTCATGCCCTCAGATCAAAGCTCTTTCTCCTGTTTATTTGATCCAGGCACCTCTACATAGACCCCTCTACTTCTGCCCTTCGGAATCTCTTCTGCCTCTGAAGGGCATCTTCTGCCACTATGCTCCATTCGTTTCTCCCAGGCTACAGTCATTAAGGGGCACAACCTCATTAACCCACTTTTAAAAGGCGTTCAAATTTTCTGGCCCCCTTGTGAGACCTGCCACCTGCATTCCCTGGACTTGCTCCCACCCAGGATTTCTGCATTTTATCTTTTCACCTCCTACCTCCAGTGCCTGGGGAGGTGTGGGGATAGTTTTGAGCACTACCATGGCTAGGAGGTTTCCAGAATTCCTGCTCTTCCTGGCACTCCAATGGCTGCTTCCCGTCATTATTTCTTGCCAGATTCTGCCTCATTTTCAGCAGCACTTATGCATAATTTGGAATTTTTAGTGATATCTCTTCCATTGTTTCACTGATAATTTTTTTTCTTCTTACTTTTTTCTGACAACTTACTTGCCTGATAAACGATCAAATTTATGGCTAAATACCTATATTTACCACTGCCTCCTTACAGATATCAGGGAGGCTAACACCAATGTCTTTGATTCAATCAAGTGACTTTTAGAAGAAACTCATCTGTTAGGACCACATGGATATATCCAGTTTCTTAAGCTGAAGAAAAGTTTGCTGACTGTGTCAGAAAATGGGATAGACAATTTAATTTGCATATATATAAAACCATACATTGACAAGAAACAAGTCAAACTCAATGAAACATCTATATCTAGGGTTACTCAGGCAATACTATTATCAGCTTAAAGAAAGAAGACTTTCACAACACCATGTATTGTTAGAATTTTTTTAAAAGGTAAAAAGATTCCTGGGAAGTCTCAATGCAGTTTGATAAATAAAGAATCAAAAGGAGTAATTGCATTACTGATTAGCTTCTATTTAGAATGCAGTTTGCAGAGCTACTTAAGGTTTTGGAAGTAGAGAATGTTATTTTGATGACAGGCTGAAGAACAAGACAGTCTTAAGGATTTGAGCTTTGTAGGAAAGGAAATTGATTTTTAAGAATCGAGGTGATCAAAGGATCTGACAATTTGGAATGCAATACATTTTTCATGAAGAAGCAACATAATATGAGAAATTTAGAAGGATATGAGAATAAGTATTCAGGAATTCAGGAAAAAAATTAAAAAGGAAGTCTCTAAATAAATAGAATATTTAGAGTTTAAGAGAGAGTAATTGTGTGATAGATGAATCAATTTAAAAATGGAGAATAACACATGGGTGATAAGTAAAGGAAATAAACCTGATAACATGTTTTGTTACATTAAGTGACTGTGTTCTGCCATTCCTTATGTTGTTAGCAGATACCTCAGGAGAATGTCAAGCTGAGTATCTTTGCGTTATGCAGAAAAAACATGTGTTTCCCAATGCAAGCATATTAATGAATAAATTACTACTATGTACAGATATATTTTATAGGAAGTCACTGGAAGATCTCAGTGCTTGTCTGGGCTACAAAACATTTCTTCTGATTCCATATAAAACCTTCAGAGTATAATATATCTATGCTAATAGTTTCCTTAAAAATCAGTGACGTGGCTTGTTGATTTTTATCACATTTTATACTGTACTTCAAGAATGAATTCTGTAATGTGAGTCCTCCTGTGTTAATATCAAAGAAAGATGAAAAGACTTTACTGTTCCAATTCTGCAACTCAGATATGTCTTCCAAAAATAGATCTTGGGGTCAAAATACCACTAACTATATAGTTCTCTTTCAAACAAACAAACAAACAAATAGCACCATATTCTAGAGAAATAAATGCCTCAGGGCTATCTCAGGAAACTTGAGCTAGAAGCGAGGAATAATATACATCACATTTAAAATTCATTAACCTCTTTAAATGAAAGAACTGGGTTCTGGAAAAGACATATGCTCGTCAACTCAGCAAGGAACTTGTTGCAATATAAAAGGAGATTGCTTGCATTTTTAAATTAAACTTACGAACTATATTACCAATATATTTGATGGTTACAATTGGGGTCAAATGCACATTCTGCCACAGCTATAAGGAAAAACAATGCAAGAGAAAGGAAAACCTTTCATTTAAAATTTTTGCTTGACTAGAAATAGTGTGTCTGTTGACTTAAGGGCTAAACATTGTTCGTTAAACTATAGCCATGCATCACTTCATGATGGGTATACGTTCTTAAAAATGCATTGTTAGGTGATTGCATCACTGTGTGAACATCATAGAGTGCACTTTAATGCAAACCTAGATGGTAGAGCCTACTACACACCTAGGCTATATGGCATAGCCTATTGCTCCTGGGCTACAAACATGTACAGCATGTTACTGAACTAAACACTGCAGTCCATTGTAATACAGTGGTGAGTATTTGTCTATCTAAACATATTTAAACATAGAAAAGGTAAAGTACAAAATGCAGTGTTATTATATAATCTTACAGGACAGCCATTGCCTATGTGGTCCATTGTTGATGAAACATCCTTATGTGGTGCATCGCCATTTATATACATTTAAGCCAGACTCCATTCCAGAATGAATGTAGCTTAAATTTCAGATCTACTTGTCTAGCATTATCTCTAATTAATTTTCCTCATACACGCTATTATTTGTCCAACTGCCCCACTTACCCAGCTTAGAGCACATTCTGCATTCCGTAGCCTCCGTGGATTGCTCATCTTGTTCCAGCTGCTTGGACCACTCATCTTTCCTTCATTGCTCTGCCCATTAGCACTCAAGGATAAGTAAACTTTACGGTCCACCTGGTGGAAACCTCACTTCCCCCTTGAAGTCTTCATGGATAATCCCTAGAAGCAAATATCTTCTTCTATTTCAGGCTCCCATTTCATATCATTTGAATTTGTCACAACAGGTGATTAATTTTTGCTTGTTTTATAGGATATTGTGGGCATCTTATTTCCTATGCCAATTGGCATGAAATTTCATGGAAACAGTTTAGCCTTAGTCATCTTTATTTCCCCCACAGGCATATAGAGAAAAGATCGCATGTAGTGGGCACTCAGTCGGTAATTGCTGAAATGGTGAAGGTCACCACTTTGTCAAGAATAGAATCAGTATGAATATCAGAATTTTCAAATTCTTATATGAGAACTGCTCCATAACATAGGTTTTTAAATTTTTGGTTGATTAAAACTTACGTGTATATATACACACATATATATACCTAAACACAAATATATATGCACAATATATAGTTACATACATACAGATATGTACATATATATGCATATATTTTTAATATAGGTATATATTTATATTTTACTATATTCATAAAATATATGTATATATTAAATATAAATATATATACAAATATATTTAATATAAATATATACACATATAAACTATATATAAATATTTATATAAACATACATATATATTTAAACTACATGAATATTTAGTGGGAACAATACATTTTGCTGCCATGAGGAAAAAAATAAAAAACTCATTTATGATTCTTTACTCAGACTGATGAAGACTATATATAGTATCTCTTTCTTTCTAAATGTTGCAAAGAAATCACCCACAGAATATAGCATTTTTATAGCTTGAAACTTGAGATTGTGTTAATTAGTGGAAATAAGAATTATCAAGACTTTGTATTTTAAGAGCATTTACTTTATTAGTGTATCATTTTTCTCAACAATAAATTAACAAGCAGAGAGGGAGGCAGAACCCTCTAGAAATAAAATATGAATTAGAACAGCAGAAAGAAAGGGAGAAAATGGGAGTGGAGAAAAAATAAAGAAATCAACAATGCAATATATAAATGTTGAAATATCTTGAGTGAATACTAAAATATCAAGAATAAAATAATCCAGACTAATAGCCACTCTGGGGATCTTCTCCTTTCAAACTTTTGAAATGTTTTATCATAGCAAAATGGTTCCCTTAATTGCCAAGAGATAATGATAATTACAAATATTCAAGAGTTTTATTATTAACAGTAATGTTCACATAAGTTGAATGCAAGGCCAACGGAAAAGTCTCAGGGACTTTGCTCTCTTGTCTTGATAAAATTAGATTTTTCTGAATCATGTGAGACACCTGATGCCTGACACATCAGCTGAGTCCTGACGCAATGAAAAGAGTTCTTATTCACCTGTCTAAATGCAGACAAATAGTAAAATACGAAATTCGAGGTGCGAGGAAAGTCTGGAAGAAAAGCACTTCTTTCTCTTTACTTTGAAAAGGTGGTGCACTTAGAAAATAAAAAAATAGGTACTTTGTAGGAAAAGGCGTGCTGTGGAAACTACATTATCGGTATTCATAGAACTTCTTTAGTGGATTCGCTTCAAGTAGTTGTGAAATTGAGCTCATGCTTCAAGGTAGCGAGCAGTATGTGCTAAACCATTGATTTGTGCCTAATAGCAGTTGGATTCTCATGGAGGCAACTTTTCTCACCTTCTCCCTTTTTCTTTCGATTCTGAATGTCTGGAGCTTCCACACATAAGGGGTTGGAGGGAACTGCCCCTACTGCAGACCCTTGGTAGTGGACTCTTCCTACAGCAACACATAAGACGCTTATGGTCCAGGTGTTCAGATGCAACACAAGAGAAGTCTTGTCTTAGTTTTCTGCATCAGATTTATATAATTGTAGTGAAAATATTTTTACAATTAAAATTGTTGAGGAGAACCATTAATCAATAGAGTATAGAAGCTACTATTCACCCTGACATTTCATGGTGTTTTACTTTGCAGTGCATTCTTACCCACCTTTGTCATTTGTTAATCATAAAACCCTGATAGACAAGTATTGATCTTCACCTTTGGCAGATTAGAAAAGTGAGCTTTAGAGAGGACTGGACAGTACAAATGGAAATAGACTATCAGGAATCCAGCCACCATTCAAACTTAGGGGTCCTGATCTAGGGTTTTTTTCTACTACATTATGGCTTTGGAGTTATTTGATTAATGTGACTAATGAAAATATGAAGTCCAGGTAGTTGTGGGCATGTTGAATTTTACCTTTTTTTCTTTTCTACTCTTAACAAAATGCACTCTATTTTCTATGCAGTGGCAGGAAAAAAAATTTTGGAGAAGGCAAGTAAATTGTACTGCTATTCCCACTTCTTTCTCTGTCATACTTATAGAATTAAAAATTCCTAACAGGTTTAGCCTCAGCTAGATATTATACACAAACATATGATATATTATATAATATATATACATATATAATGTACATGTATATTATATATCTATATGATATATAATATATATTTCATTATATATACATATATATTTCATTGCATCAGGACCCAGTTGTGTCATACATCAGGTGCCTCACATGCTTAAAAACAATCTATATATTTTGTATATTATTTATATATTATATATTACATATTGCATATGTTGCATATATTATGTATATTTATATCATGTATAATATATTATACATTATTTTTATATATTATGCATATACAATATATGTATATACATATATACAACTATACATATTACAGATAATGTATTGTATTGTGATATGTGTATAGTATATATACATATATAATATATAACATATACATATTATATTATAGATAATATATTGTGTTATATACACAGAATATATACATAATATATAATACATTATTTATATAAATATACATAATATATAATATATAATATACATAATATATAATATATGTATGTACATATATACAATATATACATATAGAGAATATATTGTATTATACATCATATAGCATATGATGTATAATACAGTAATATATTATTATATAAAAATAGATAATTTATCTATTTATATAAAATATATACATATTTATGCCAGAGCTTGCAATTTGTTGAATTTTTGTGTGAGTGAAAAATCAGACCTTGGCAATGACCTTGAGCAGTAGGATATAAATAACTCTCACATGCTTAGCATTCCAATAATGGAACACTAGGCATAAATGCATAAGACTAACCCACCTGCTTATGTGGGTTAGTCTTATTGTGTTATTCGTATTATAGGGAATCCACTTTTTATGTACAACCATGATTGTATAGTATGTATATATTATATTATATATTATTCTTATAATATAATGTATAATATATATTGTATATGTATATATTATACATATATTTTATATATATATATATTATTCTTACAAGGCTATGTGTCTAATTTTATTCCATAACAATGAGAAGTTAACTCCAACACTTATTTTACAGGTAAGAAAATGGAACTGAAGTAATTTAGCTCATCAGCAAAGATCACATAATTAGTAACTGAGGCGGGTAATTTGGCTCGCAAGTTGGTTTGTTTGTTTCAGAACATCTTGCTTACGTAGTCTGTCCCCTGTGTTTCTCCAGGTAACTACTATGCAGTTTCCTCCTAGTTTATGACCCTCCAGAGAATGCCCTTTAGCTCTGTAGAGCCCCAGTGTAGAATGCAATTGCATGATACTCTAAAGAGCTTTGCTTGCAGAAAATCATCTTTCTCTATTCTATGTTTTGTGTCCTTATATTTCCTTCAAATACAGTATCTGACATAGTTATTAAGACAAAACTCCTTAAGCTGAATCATACTAGGTGTGGATAATGTGTTACTATTCTTCTGACAGGGAATTCATTTTTTATATACAACTATTATTGGAGAATTTTGGACAAATGCTTAAGGCAGAAGGGCCCTCAATTTGTATGGTTGCATTTTTCTTCATGTGTTAAAATTGTTCTTTCTCCACATTTTAACTGGTGGGTACTTGAGTCACTCATTTTGATGGGCCTCAAAGGAGAGCCAGGGGAGGGACTTGTGCTGGAGACTGAATCTAAGAAAGTCTAGTGAGGTAGAAGCTACAGTGTTAGTTTTTTGAGGACATCAAAAAACTGAGTTGGAGCAGGGCAAGTCTCACCCAGGTTACAAGTTCAAAAGGCATAAGCAGACTTGAAAATAGGGAAAACAGAGTGGGTAGAAATAGAAAAGAATAATAGCATGGTTTTAAACACTGTTAGCAGCTTCCTAGGGAGTTTCTGAGACAGGAGTGGGAATATCGACGACTTGCATTTATTAGTTAGTTTGCATTTGTTGAAAGAAGGTTAAGAATATAGCATATGGCTTGTATAGAGCCTGCTAAATGCTGTAATGAAATATATATATTCCAAGTGGGATTTAAAAAATTTGATTAAAACTAGAGATTCTAGTGATCTTAGGAAACTCTTTCCCTAATATCAATGTATCCATCGTACATTCTTAGACAAAAAGTGAGTTAGCTTTGGCATATTTAGACAGAGAGTAACAAAGATAGGGTGAATTGAGTAGAGAAAATAAAAGCAATGTACTCCAATATTTAGATTTGTGTTTTTCAAAGATTATTTCTCTATGAATTATTTGTGTGTCTGTTGATGGCGAATGTGTTATTGGAAGCACTGGGATTTCTTTCATGATGGTTTCTTTTCTAAAAAGGTAAAATACAACCATCAGCCATGGAGACCATCTTCACCTCTCCATTAAAGTGATAAAGTCATATTAGACTGTTGGTAAGGTTTTTACTTGACAGGAATGAAATTCTGTAATTTCTTTTATATTTTCAGGAGAGAGATACAAATCATATTAAAAGCCCAGAGAAAAGAGTCACTATCATCCACCTACATGAACAGAGCATTCTCAGGTAAAATCAGTGTAAGTTTCCAAACAAAAGATATTGACCAAAAGCAGTGATAAGTTTCTTTATGTCTAGAAAGCAATTATGACTTTCATTTGAATGGCATGTTGTCATAAATCATTCTTTGTGTTTGTCCAGGATGCCCCAAGAGCCATACATTAATTTTGGTCTTAGCCCAGGACAACTGCACATGCAAGTGTTGAACACATGCCAATAGTTTAATACAAAAATCGATGTGTGTTTTTCATAGAAAATATCAGACACATTAGCCAAATCTTTTGCAGAAGTATATATTCTTTTGCAGATTCTTCATTACTTATTAAATCTCCTGTGTTAGCCAGAAGCAAAAGGGAGTAGGAGTTTAGACAACTTTGGCTGCAAGATTTTCCCACAGGGGCATTCATGAGACTGGGAAGCAATTGAACTTTAACAAAAAGAAAATAATTTTATTGTCTAAGATGGAACCCAGTGTTCCTTAGAAATTTTAAGGGGAAAGAAATAGATGTGGGAGAGAGGATTCAGAGATTCATTGAACAGGGGTGGCGGGGCGGGGAGGGAGACAATAAACAAGGAAAATGCAGAAAGTAAGAAAAAGATGAAGGAAAAGGCACACAAATATCTAGAAATATATTACACTTAATATTTCATCTGGACCACCATTTTCCTCCATTTATTCATTTTTCCTTATTATTTGATCAGATTATCATTTTCTTCTTACCTACTGGAGTCACTATCTAGTTATGGCTCATTTGGAGTGAACAGTAAACAGATCTTAATTCTGCCATTTTGTAAAGACCTTAGTCCCTTGAATCTAACCTTCTTCTTACAAAGTCAGTATATATATCCATTTTCGTAGACTGGAGTAAAGCCAGCCTACATTCTCACACATGGAATTTAAGGAAAGAAAGAGTTTCATGAGAAAAGAAATAATCAACACAGCCCAGAGGTCAAGTAAGTCAAGAAGAAAAATACCCACTGCAGTATCTAGATGGTTAAGAATGGAAAACGTTTACCAAATTATTTCAACAGATTTAGTGAGTTTAGAAGCCTTATTTAGTGAATTGAAAGTTTATTAAAATTTTGTACACCCAAAACCAAACAAATATCATTAAAAAACAAACGAATTAAAAAATATTTTGTCAGGTCAGGCGTGGTGGCTCATACCTGTAATCCCAGCACTTTGGGATGCCAAGGCAGGTGGATCAGTTGAGGTCAGGGGTTTGAGGCCAGCCTGGCCAACATGGTGAAATCCCATTTCTACCAAAAATACAAAAATTAGCCAGGCATGGTAGAGCACACCTCTAGTCCCAGCTACTCTGGAGGCTGAGGCATGAGAATCACTTGAACCTAGGAGGTGGAGGCTTTTGTGAGGCTGAGATTGCCCCACTGCACTCCAGCCTGGATGACAGAGTGAGACTCTCTCAAAAAAAAAAAAATTGTCACAAAATATGTAAGCAAATAACAAATTGTAGATAGTATCTCTTAGCAGCAGAAGATATCTGAGTCATGTGGCACCAATGTATGTTTGTGGTGGTGAATCCCTACGGGTCTGCATGCAGCCTCAATTCTTGCCCCCTCGGAAGAAGGAATTTGACTGAGGGGCATAAGGCAGAGAGATTGAGGCAAGTTTTACAGCAAGAGTCAAAGTTTACTAAAAAGCTTTAGAGCAGAAATGAAAGGGAGTAAAGTACACTTGGAAGTGAACCAAGAGGGCAACTTGAGAGAGCAAGTGCCCAGTTTGACCTTCTGACTTGGGGTTTTATAGGCACGCTTCCAGGGTCTTGCATCCCTTTTCCCCTGATTCTTTCCTTGGGTTGGGCTCTCTGCATGCGCAGTGGCCTGCTAGCCCTCAGGAGGTGAACATGCCCAGTGTGTTTACTGGAGTTGTACGCATACTCACTTAAGGCTTTCTTCCCTTCCCAGCTGAATGTTCCTAGCAGCTCATATACAAGTTAAACTCCACCATTTTCTCTCTTAATGCACATAGTTGAGCCCACCTTCCCAACTCCTGAATCTTCTCAGGAAGCTGCTTATCACTAGCTTCAGGTGTTTTCTATTTGCTGGGGGCCTGCCTTTCCCTGGCACTGGCTGTGACCAATTATTATTTTAGAGAGACAATTAACAACTGCCTGACCATCACCAGATCATCTCCTGACATTCCTGGTGTGGCAAGGGGGAGCCATCTCCGGCCCTGATTATGCCTGACTAGCTACATACTATAATATATCCATATGTCTTTCATGATTCGATGAGATAAAAGAGAAGGGAATTTAAAATTTTTCTAAGAAGAATTAGGAAAAATGAAAAAATGCACAGGTTTATTTTTGCAGGACTGAGAGACAGTTATGGAAATCAAAAGGTGTTTGTATCTGTTAATCATTAATAGATTGCTTCTATTCAGACAAATAGGTCTACAGATGAAACACTATATAAACGTATAAAAGATTAAAGATATTAATTTAATTAACATTTTATTAATCAAATTAATATTAATATAATGTAAAGTTTTCTGAGTTGCTCACATGTAACAATTTATTGAAGACCTGTTGGTTTTAGATACTGTTATGCTAAATCATTCTTGTGACAACATCATACAATTTTGTTTTCCGAGAAAAATGTGGTTCATTTTTTCTACATGGGAATGACAGTATTTTATTGCTTGGTTTGCCATTAAACATGCTTTCTTAATGGGCTATCAACTTCCCATTCAGTCTAGGTAGATTTAATTTTCAGTGCCCTCAGCACTCTAATATTCTGACTTTTCTTCAAAGGAAACAGGAGCAAATATTGCATTCTCAATATGCCTTGCACTTTGATCAAAATCTTTCAACCTGACAGATTGAATATACAGACACCAACCAAACGAAATATGACAATACATCTCTCACCTAGGTAAGAAGCCCAGAAGGCCAAACCCCAAGTTCTGCTTCAGTCATCCCTAAACAGTCAAGACTTAATCAATGATGACCACCTACCACTTAAGACAAACTAGAAAAAGCCAAATATGCTCTCCAGCCAATCACATAAGATAATCTGTTTCTCCTTAAGCCAACCTCAGCTTCTCCATACCAACAACCTCCAGCCATAGCATAGCTGAAGCCTTCTCTTCCCCCCAACCCACTATAAATCTTTCCCACACCCCTCTGTGCTTGGAAGCATTGGGCAAACAAAAGTGTTGGTGGCCAACTCCCTTGTCATAGCAAGCCCTGAATCAAGATTGTATTCTCAACTGGATGGGCTTCACTTACTTCCACAAATGTATCCTTAAGGCTATATTAAAAACAAATACATAAACAGGCCGGGGGCAGTGGCTCACACCTGTAATCCCAGCACTTTGGGAGGCTGAGGCAGGTGGATCACCTGAGGTCAGGAGTTTGAGACCAGCCTGGCCAACATGATGAAACCCCCATCTCTACTGAAAATACAAAAATTAGCTGGGCGTGGTGGTGGGCGTGTGTAATCTCAGCTACTTGGAAGGCTGAGGCAGGAGAATCGCTTGAACCCAGGAGGTGGAGGTTGCAGTGCGCTGTTTGCGCCATTGCATTCTAGCCTGGGTGAGAGGAGTAAAACTCCATCTCAAAAATAAATAAATAAATAAATAAAAACTTGCTGAAGATAGAATTGCTTCCTCCTACTCCCCTGGTTTCTGTAAGTATGGACTTTTCCATTTTGCCATTTTCTTTCTTCAACCTGTGGAAAAGGAACATGTTACATGATTGATGACAATAGAGATTAGTGCCAGTTTCCTATTTAAGTGGACTTCAGCTATCAAAAGTCATAAGCATGGGGTTTTGAGAATGTCTCTTCTTCTTACAGACTAAATCAGAAAGGTAATGATCTTGGTTAGTAGGCTTGTGTCTTAATCAGCTCAGACTACTATAAGGTGCCACAGACTGGGTGACTTACTAAACAACATGAATTTATCTCTCACTCTTCTGGATGCTGGAAGTCCCAAGATCAGGGTGCCAGCCTGGTTATGGTCAGGTTCTGGTAAGGGCTGTCATCAGGTTGCAGGTGGTCACGTTCTTGTTATACCCTCACAAGCAGGAAAGAGGACCAGGTAGTTCTCCGGGGTCTCTATCATATAGATACTAATCCCATTCACAAAGGCTCCACCCTCATGACCTGATCATTGCTCAAAGACCTCACCTCCTAATACCATTACATTAGGGGTTAGGATTTCCACACAGGAATTTGGGAGGAGGACACAAACATTCAGTCCATCACAATCTACAAACTCCAAATTTCCTTGGTGCAAGCATTCAGTGACTGCTAACTGGAGGGTAAGGGTGTCTTTAAACCTAGAATTCATAAGCAAGTATAGAAGTGTTTTTGGATTCTATCTGCCTAATCATTTGGATGTAGGGAAGATTTTGAGATACATATAAGCACCAGCAATGGGTCCCCCTATTTCATTTTGTTCTATTTTCTGACATTTTAAAAAAAAAGAGAGAAAGAGAGATGACTTCATCTTTCTCTGCTTCACAGAACAGCCAATTCTGACCATTATAAATCCTGTTGGGTTCATAAGAAGTTTCAGCTTTGTTGAATAAGCTCTGTTATTCATTTTTTCTCCCAAATGCTTTGATTTTTAAAAATGTGTTCTCACTTTTTTATTCTTTGTAATTTTATTTATAAATTTTGCATTTTCAGTGTGTGGGTGTATGCAAATGAGCTTAATGTGCTTCTTAATTTTCACACTGTTTGCTGCTGTGTTCCTGCTAGGCTGCTAAAACCAGCTTGGGAAAATGTCATTGCTGTTACCTGGGTATTAAGGAAATTATTATTTTTGTCATTCGCTTGTAAGAAAAATAGTCATGTTTTAACAAAACAATAACATGTCTTGTGTTATTTGACTTTGGACCACTGGGTTAGCATGGATGTGCCCAGAGGAACACCAAGCCCATGAGTCCAGCGATGCTCCAGGGACCAGGCAGTGGGGTCTGTGTGTGTGGATAAAAATGTCAAGCCCATGACAGGCATCTTCATATGAGAACAGATTTATTTACTTTGTCTGAGACTTGAGGACATTTTTGTTCTTTCTCATAGTTAATCCCTTTAATATTGATTGGTTGGATTGATTGATCCAGTTTCTGGAAATATATCTAATGACGTATGGAATGATGAGGCAAACAACAAAGGGACGATGTTTTATTTCCTTGTCAGGCTAATTTGAGAGTTCTCTCTTAAGTGAGGGGAGTGCTTACAAGTGATGCCAAAGGTGTAAGTTGCCGGTGAATTTTGCTGGATGATTATGGGAGCATGTTCCTAATGTTCTCACAGTTTTTTTTTCCCCCAGAAACCAAACAAAAAGAAATAATGAGGGAAGCAAAAGTATATTTTTAGTGAGACTCTGAGT
Source organism: Homo sapiens (assembly GCF_000001405.40). Taxonomy (NCBI): domain Eukaryota; kingdom Metazoa; phylum Chordata; class Mammalia; order Primates; family Hominidae; genus Homo; species Homo sapiens. The sequence goes on from NC_000010.11 coordinate 9,395,690, forward strand.
TGGAGAAAATCTACAAATTTCAAATAATATATGACTACTGCCAAAACCTCTGAGGCCAGAAAACCCCATGTGGGAAGCAGTGACAGTCCTGCCAGGAAGGAGTGGGAGTCATGAGGGGGTGTAGAGGGTGCAAATTTGTTTGTTTCTTGGAACAAATGCTTAACTAGAGCTTATTATGTTCCTGGGATTTTTCTAAGTGACTTACAAAGATGACCTCATTTAAACCTCATAACAACCCTATCAGGTACTATCTTATCTACATATTACAGGTAAACAAAGCGTGAAGTACAGAGAGTCAATGGCGATCACAGAGACTGACAATGAAGATTCCCTTTAAATGAGAGGGCACATGGACAAAACCAATGGCTGTGGAGCGAGAAAAGATATAGAAAGTGCCCAGAGAAACCCAGAGTTGTGCCTGCAGAAAGTACACTTCGTAAGGATATGCAAGTTACCTAGGTAAACAGTTACTGTGCCTGGGTAGCAAGGGCTACAGAATCCTTGTGGCTGTACCAGCTGTCAAAGTTCTCCTGAGTCTGGTAGGTTCTGGGAGTCAGAAGAGATGAGGAAGTTACACAAAGTTCTCCTGAGTCTGGTAGGTTCTGGGAGTCAGAAGAGATGAGGAAGTTACACAAAGTTCTCCTGAGTCTGGTAGGTTCTGGGAGTCAGAAGAGATGAGGAAGTTACACAAAGTTCTCCTGAGTCTGGTAGGTTCTGGGAGTCGGAAGAGATGAGGAAGTTACACAAAGCAGGTGCAACTATGAGTGGAGAGTCCCTTGCTGTAGCAACAAATTCCTGACCCCTGTCTTCTCCAAAGGACGTGTCTGCTAATAGTTTTCTAAAAATCCAGTTCATTCAGAATTAAGCAGTGAAACAAGAAAAAAATAAGCACAGTACAATAAAATTGTAAAAGAAAAGTTAAATTGAGCTCAAAAACTCTAAATCTACTATCAGTAGACACACAATAGATGAATATTGTTACCAAAATTTCAGTATGAAGTAAAGAAAAAAACTTTAATGAAGCAATCAAACATATACATAAAAGAACAAAAGTTAAAGACCAGATAACAAGAAAAAGGAGAAAACCAAAAACCAAAAACCAAACCAAAACAAAACAAAAACCTCAGGAAAGGAATTAAAAAAATAACAGTTTACAAATAAAGATGAAATAACAAGCATAGAATGGAATAGATATCATAGGTGTATATAGTGAGTAAAGGAACAAACGAAGGAAACATAACAACAAAAAAAAAGAACTAGAGAAAGTGTGTATAGATAACGAGCACCCAAAGGAGGAATTCTCCCCCAATTGTAGTTTAAATTGTATTTAAACTACAAAAACTTACAAAAGGAGGTTGATAAGCAAAATTAAAAGCCAGTTTGTAAAATTTGAAGCAAAATTGAATGACAAATATTGGAACGATACCTATAAGAAAATCAAGGAAATAAATGGTAAGTCAAAGTTTTATTTTCAGACAAAATTTTAGTTAAATTTAATTATACTGTCTAACAGATTTGAATTTTAACAACTCTGTGACTATTCTTCCACTGAGCTCATTGTGAGAAAACACCAGAGGAGAAATTCCTACCAACCAAGAACCGACAGAGAAAACTACAGCAAAGACCCAGTGGTGGGAGCTGAGTATATTTAACTGTAGGTCAATACAAAAATAGAAACCAGAGCCAAATAATCAGAATGAAAATAAGTGTTGTAAACTACAAGAATGTAGAAATGATAGAAGTAACAAAATCATGACAACAGGAGAGAAGATACAAAGTAAAATAAGCCCAGTATTACCTTAATTCTAGTAGCTACAATTAAAATATTTAATTTCTAAATGGCATAGTCTCTACTTTTCTTTCAATCATAGAAACAGGAGTATTAGAATCTCTGTTCATAAGAGTAGATTTGACTATTTCTTATTTTAGTTCTGTCCGATTTTCATTTATATATTGTAAAGGTATACTATTAGATACACACAAATTCAGTATTGTTTTGACTTTTTGATAAATAATTATTTTATCATTGTTAAATATCCCTCTTTATCTATAATGTTAATTCTGATCTCTTAGTCCACTGTCTCTGATAATAACTGAGCCACTCCAGCTTTCTTATGGCTTGCATATCTACCTTTTCATTATTTTACTCGTATTAAATAAAATTTCTACAGTTTTATACATAAAGCACATCTCTTACAAGCAGTAGACTTGAGTCTTGCTCATTTAGCCAATGTGACAAACTCTCCCTTTTAATTCAAGAGCGTAGTCTACTTATATTTAATGTAATTATTGATGTTGTTGTGTATAAGTTCAACCAAAATATTCTTTTCCTACATTTCCAATTTTTCTTTCTTTCTTTTTTCCTCCTTTGTGGAGTTCTTTGGATTAATTCAGTATTTTATGTTTCATTTTATCTCCTCTGGCTTTTTGACTTCATATCTTTATATTTTAGTGTTTTCTTAAGACATTATTATATGAATCCGTAACTTATCACTGTCCACTTCCAAATAATATCATATCAATATAAGTATAATTGAAGAAGTTTAAACATGATACTTCCATTTACCCCCTCATTGTTGTCATACATTTTAGTTTCATACATGTGCAATCTTTATAATTTATTATTAGTTTTTGCTTTACAGAGTCATTCATCATTTAAAGATAATAAACGAGAAAAATGCCTTTTACATTTAAAATTGCCAGTGTTCTTTATTTTTTTATTTCATATTTCTTTCTTTCTTTATTTATTCATTTCTGAGATGGAGTCTCACTCGGTCACCTACGCTGGAGTGCAGTGTTGCAATCTCAGCTCACTGCAACCTCCACCTCCCAGGTTCAAGCAATTGTCCTGCCTCAGCCTCCTGAGAAGCTGGGACTACAGCATGCGCCACCGCGCCCCGCTAAATTTTTATATTTTTCACTGAGATGGAGTTTCACCATGTTGGTCAGGCTGGTCTCAAACTCCTGACCTCAGGTGATCAACCTGCCTCAGCCTCCCAAAGTGCTGGGATTACAGTCGTGAGCCACCACACCCAGCTGCCAGTGTTCTTTAGCCCTTCATGTAGATCCACATGTCAGCCTGGTATCAGTCTGAGAGATGCTTTCTCTAGTATTTCTGTTAGGGAAGATCGCTGAAGATTAATTCTCTTGGTGTTTATTGAACTTAAAGTGTTTCTGTTTTTGCCTTCATTTTTGAAATTGAATTCTGAGTTGAGAGAGTTGTTTTGTTTTGACATTTTAAAGATGCCAATCTGTATTGTCTTTTCACTTGAATTTGTGATAGCAAGATGGAGGTAATTTGTATTATTGTTGTGCTACATATAATGTGCCTTTAAAATTCCATTTGACTATATTTAAATTTAAGTATTTACAAATATTTCATTGTCAAATTGGTTTCAGTAGTTTGCCAATGAAGTGCCTACATATTGTTTTGTTTGCATTAATTGCTCTAAGAGTTCCTGTTTGTGAACTCTATGAAGATACTGTGTTTCATTTAGGACTATTCCAAATGATTTTATATCAATAAATAATTATTTATTGAGTGCTTTGTAGGTTCTTGGCACTATTTCTAGGATTGCAACTCATATACAGTGACTATTAAACATTATCCCTATCTTTAAGGATCTCACAGTCTTACTGGGAAATAAGACACATACACTGAAAGCAGTGCATTGCAAATATTACTGCATAAATTATCAGATGTTACTGGATTTGGAGTGCTTAGCATTTATTTATGAATCCCAAGAGATAGCAAAACATTCTTCCTTGTCAGTGAAGGTTAGGAGAAGGGAAACAGTAACCGCTGTTATTGGTATTGTTCTTTTTTTTTTCTAGATTCATGTAACCATTACCAGCAATAGATGTAGGAGAGTGCAAGCCACTGTATTTACTTTCTTTGTGCTAAAAATCATCTCTACCATCAGCATTAAAAGAATAAGAAAATAAAATTAAATAAGATTCAAATAAATTAAGTAAAATAAAATAGAGTGGTTGCCTTTGTCTGCTGATCCCAAGTGCGGCCCACGAGTCCCTCTAGCCTCCCACTGCGAAGTGTTGAGTCAGTCCTGACCGGGGAATAATGTGAATCAGCTGCTTCACCTTCTGCAGGTAATTGATCTTGCTGTCAGTTTTGTGAGTGTGCATTAAGACCCAGCCTGCAGTGTACAAATGCATCTGCTAGGTTGCAGCCATTCAACTCCTTTAGTGTTTTAGCTGAACCCATTTCACTGGGCGTCTACTTTGTCTCATCTGCCCAGAACTAAAGTCTCTCCCTAGACCTTGAGCCTCCTCTGAATCCTAACTTGCTCTGTACCATCATTCCCTCCCTTCTTTTGGCAGGGGTTGGGGGGCTTTTTCCAAAAGAAAGGGATTATGAAAGATGCAATTTGCCTTTGTCTAAAATTTTCACACATTCTGATAATTTATGTCATGGTGATGATAGGGTAGAATCAGAATCATTTGAATTCAAGGTTATCTTAACAAGGCTAGTATGTATATTGTTAATTGTGGTTTCCCCAACAATATCTCAACAACTGGACAAATCACTCTGAACACGCATGCTCATTTTGAAGTTTTTATAACTTTATTTATGATTTTTAAAAGTCCTCATAGGAAACAAAATTTCCCAATTAGAGAAAACTCTTTTATATACTCAAAGAACATCTTAGCGGACCTGAGACCCCAATTTCTCATACTCCAATTCCCCACAGGGTAACATAATGAGGGTCAGATGTCCCTGTACCCAAACCATAAAATTATGAGACCCAGAAGCCATGAAGAGCACCTGGCACATCTGTCTTTTCTCCAAGGAGAGAGAGAGAGAGAGAGAGAGAGATTTTTGCTTTGCAATGTAAATAGATGCTTTCTGGGACAGTAGAGGAGACCTTAGAGATAAGCCTTTATGTTCTTTCTTTTCTTTTTTTTTTTGATGGAGTCTTGCTCTGTCGCCCAGGCTGGAGTGCAGTGGCTATGATCTCAGCTCACTGCAACCTCCGCCTCCTGGGTTCAAGCAATTCTTCTGCCTCAGCCTCCTGAGTAGATGGGACTACAGGTGCATGCCACCATGTCTGGCTAATTTTTGTATTTTTAGTAAAGACAGGGTTTTACCATATTGGCCAGGCTGGTCTCGAACTCCTGACTCTGTGATCTGCTCGCCTTGGCCTCCCAAAGTGCCGGGGCCTTTTTGTTCTTTTGAGGCAATCTATTACATCTAACTTCCATGGCATATTTATCATTCAATTATCCTTTTACCAAGGTTTTGTTTTGTCTTGTTTCCTTTTTTTTTTTATTTTTATTTTACTTTAAGTTCTAGGGTACATGTGCATAATGTGAAGGCTTGTTACACAGGTATACATGTGCCATGTTGATTTGCTACACCCATTAACTCGTCATTTGCATTAGGTATTTCCTTTCAAAGAAAACAAGATGGGAAATATTCAGGGAATATCATTTCTTCTCAACAACATCAAGGTCAAACTGATTTGCATGTACAGCTAGTCCCTGGCTTACAATGGCTTGGCTTAAGATTTTCCAACTTTATAACTGTGTGAAGTAGAAACACACATTCAGTGAAAATCATACTTCTCTAATGGTGCTTGGCAGTGGCAGTGAGCCACAGGTCCCAGTCAGCCACTCCTTTCGACTTAGGATATTTTCAATTTATGATGGGTTTATCAGGACATAACCCCTTCATGCACCATAGAGCATCTGTACTCCCCAAACTGCCAGCATTACATCTCTCCTACTGTCTTGGACATCCTTCCTTATCTACCAACTTATATATCACCTGTCAGTCATTACTACTCTCTTTGCATAATTTGCATTATGCAAATGCACATGGTTTCTATGCTTTCTTCATCTCTCCCATGTCTTAACTGTCCGGTCTGAGTTCCCTCTCTCTTTATCTAGTATCCAGCACTGGTCTCATCAGGGTAGATTTCTCAAAGTCCAGAGTGTCTCATCCTCAAAGCTACCAGGGTTAAAATATGCAAGCCTTCAGACAGGCCCTCAAAACCACATATCTAACATGGAATGCCAAAGAATTATGAAGGGAATGGAGGAAAAACAAAAGAAAGCTTTCATAAGGCTATAACCTAAATTACATGTAAATGGGCGCAATGGCTGGGCATGGTGGGTGGTGGCTCATACCTGTAATCCTAGCACTTTGGGAGGCTGAGGCTCTCTCTCTCTCTCTCTCTCTCTCTCTATCTCTCTCTCTCTCTCTCTCCCTCTCTCTCTCCCTCATTGGAGAAGAGACAGATATGCCATGTGGGCGGCAAGCCATCCAGGTGCCGAGGCAAGAGACCGAGGGCATGAGTTGTTCCAGTATAATAAAATATATAAAACAACAAGAGTTATACTAGATCTAGATCATAGACATGATTATATATGAATATCATTAATCATTAGTTTGTAGCAATTACTCTTTATTCCTATATTGTAATAATCCTCGCTCTATAATCATAACCTAGGAAAAACCAGGCCATACAGAGATAGGAGCTGAGGGGACATGGTGAGAAGTCACCAGAAGACGAGTGTGAGCCTTCTGTTATGCCCGGACAGGGCCACCAGAGGGATCCTTGGTCTAGCGGTAACGCCAGCGTCTGGGAAGATGCCCATTGCCAAGCGGACGGTGGTATAGCAGTAGCGTCAGTGCCAAGGGAAAACACCTGCTACTTAGCCGACTGGGAAAGGGAGTCTCCCTTTCCCCGGGGGAGTTTAGAGAAGACTCTACTCCTCCACCTCTTGTGGACAGGCCTGCCTGCAGTTATCTGGAGGCCTAACCATCTCCCTGTGATGCTGTGCTTCAGTGGTCACACTCCTAGTTCGCTTTCAGGTTCCATCCTGTACACCTGGCTCTGCCTTTTAGCTAGCAGTAGCAAAATTAGTGAAAGTACTAAAAGTCTCTGATACGCAGAAATAATGGTGTAAGCTGTCCTCTCTCTCTCCCTCTCTCTCTCTCTGCCTGGGCTGCCAGGCAGGGAAGGGCCCCCTGTCCAGTGGACACGTGACTCACGTGACCTTGTTAATCATTGGAGATGACTCACACTCCTTACCCTGCCCCTTTTGCCTTGTATCCAATAAATAACAGCGCAGCCTGGCATTCAGGGCTACTACCAGTCTCCACGTCTTGGTGGTAGTGGTCCCCAGGGCCCAGCTGTCTTTTCTTTTACCTCTTTGTCTTGTGTCTTTATTTCTATAATCTCTTGTCTCCACACAGGGGGAGAAAACCCACGGACCCTGTGGGGCTAGACCCTACAGCGCCAGGTGCTCTTCATGGCTTCTGGGTCTTATAATTTTATGGTTCTTCCCCTGTGGAACAGGGACATCTGACCCTCATTATTTTACCCTGTGGGGAATTGGAGTGTGAGAAATTGGGGATTCAGGGCTGCTAAGATGCTCTTTGAGTATATAAAAGAGTTTTCTCGAATTGGGAGATTTTGTTTCCTATTAGGATTTTCCTATTAGGATTTTTAAAAATGATTCATAAAAATATAAAAACTTTAAAATGAGCATGCATGTTCACTTGAGGTTAGGAGTTCAAGACCAGCCTGGGTAACATAATGAAACCTCGTCTCTACTAAAAATACAAAATTTAGCAAGGCGTGGTGGTGCATGTCTGTAATCCCAGCTACCTGGGAGTCTGAGGCAGGAGAATTACTTGAACCCAGGAGGTGGAGGCTGCAGTGAGTGGAGATCACGCCATTGCACTGCAGCTGGATGACAAAGCGAGATCCTGTCTCAAAAAAATATAAATAAAAATAAAATAAATGGATATGATGGACCAAATGTTTGTGTGCCCTCAAAATTTATATGTTGAAATCTGAATCTCCAATGTGATGCTCTTGGAGGTGGGGTCTTTGTGATTTGATCAGATCATGTGGGTAGGGTGCTTGTCAGTGGAATTAGTGCCCTTTATAAAAGAAACCCTAGAAAGTTTTTCTGCCCTCTGTTCAACACGTGAGAGTAAAACAAGAGGACTGGAGCCTGCAACTCGAAGAGGGCCCTCACCAGAATCTGACCACACGGGAGCCCTGATCTTGGGTAACCAACCTCCAGAACTGTGAGATATACATTTCCACTGCTTATAAGCCACCCAGTTTATGCTACTTTGCTGTGGCAACCCAGACTAGCTAAGACAATAGGTAAACTGAAAAGTAAAGCAAGTTATCATATTTGGTTAATTGTGGACAAAGTATATTGTGTGGCTCACTGGAAGACTATAATAGCATTTGTAATATTTTTATGTGG